>NC_000010.11:54840064-54991580 GCF_000001405.40 Homo sapiens | reverse complement strand
ACCAGAAATCTCATCTTCTGATCAACCATGTTTTAATTATGTCTGTGACCCTGTGTGTATAAAATTAGTAATTATTTGAAAGGCCAAGATGGTTTTCAGTTTCAAGTTTATGTCTATTTACTTTTTATTGACCCATTAAAGTAAAATGTTTGGTTATATACAGTATACATGCCCAGCTTTTCTCTTTTTTCAATTACCTCTATTTCTAAGGTTGAGAAAAGAACTTTTCCTCAGATAATTACATCCATCTACTCAGTAAGTGGAACAATATATTTATATGAATTCAGTTATCATTGTTACATTACATTAATGTTGTTGAAGACAAATTATGCCCATTGGTTGGTAATAATGCTTTTTATGCAAGAAACTAGCATTCTTAAAAAGACAGTGGTCAATACTATTGATTAAACAACATATTCACAAATAAGTATCCATGCTGAGCATGCATTCACTACAAAGTATCTTTCAAAATCATGTCCAATAGAATGTAAAATGCAAACGAAATGAAAGTAAATTGGGACTTCAAAGCAAGAAATAGAAACTTACAAAAATATTGTGGAGCTTTATTATTTTACAAATGATTATTACTAGGAATTAGAATTGTTTTTTTTTTCTTTTAAAATTTTATTGGGGAAGATTTGAATTGCCATAATAGTTTGGAGCAGGCAACTGGAACTAGTTAATGTTCTTTTGTAAATTACTATGAGAAAACTAAAACAGTATTATTATCCTGAGGGGATTTCCTTTCCTTTCTATTTAACATTCAAATATATTCATTTGTCATTCACCTGACCAGAGACCAATCCAGTTTAAAACTGAAAGGATAAAGAGAGATTTGAATATTGCCAGGATCCTTGAAAAACTGACTAAAATGGCAACAGATATGAACATAAACATCTTGTTGGTCATCTCAGAATTTCTAATTTGCAATGATGGTTTATATAAACATGTACTGTATGTATTACCTAATTTTAAAAATATCTCTGCACAAACAACACTGGGTAGAAATTGAAAAAGAGTTTGAAAAAGTGGTAACCAATTTCAATGAAATTTATTTATTTTTAATTCATGATTTTCAAAATAGAGAAAAATAGCTAGAAGCTAAATTTATAACTAGATAGATGAGTCTAATAACTCCTACTTAGTATTCCATATGTCAAGCAATCTTACCAGACATTCCCTGAACTGTAAAATGCTTAGGGGACATTTTCTAAATCCAGTAATCTATTTAATACCTTTAAAGCACTATTTTTTGAAATGTGATGTGTCATTTAAAAAAAATGGTATTTTCTACTGAAGTAATCATGGGAAATGCTGATACAAAAAAAGTTACACAGATATATTTACTGCAGAGTTTATTAAGGCCTTCAGTAAGCCAATTTTCATAACAGATCTCCAAGAAATGCTATGCTTTGTGTATTAGTCTGCTTTCATGCTGCTGATAAAGGCATACCAGAGACTGGGCAATTTACAAAGGAACGAGGTTTAATGGAGAACCCACAGTTCCATGTGGCAGAGGAGGCCTCACAATCATGGCAGAAGACAAGGAGGAGCAAGTCACATCTTACATGGAGGGCAGCAGGCAAAGAGAGCTTGTGCAGGGGAACTCCCCTTTTTAAAACCATCAGATCCTGTGAGACTTATCCTCCATCATGAGAACAGCATGGGAAAGACCTGCCCCTATGATTCAACCACCTCCTACTACTGGGTCCCTCCCACAAGATGTGAGAATGCAAGATGAGATTTGTGTGGGGAAACAGCCAAACCATATCATTCCTCCCCTGGCCCCTCCCAAATGGCATTTCCTCACATTTCAAAACCAATCATGCTTTCCCAACATTCCCCCAAAGTTATAACTCATTTCAGCATTAGCTCAAAAGTCCATAGTCCATTGTTTCATCTGAGTAAATAAATTACCCATTTCAATGGGTAAATACAGCCATTTCAAATGGGAGAAGTTGGCCAAAACAAAGGGGCTACAGGCCCCATGCAAGTCCAAAATCCAGCAGGGGAGTCAAATCTTAAAGCTCAAAAATGACCTCCTTTGACTCCATGTCTCACATCCAGGTCATGCTGATACAAGAGGTAGGTTCCCATGGACTTGGGCAGCTCTGCCCCTGTGGCTTTGCAGGATGTAGCCTCCTGCCTTCTGGCTGCTTTCATGTCCTGGCATTTAGTGTGTGTGGTTTTTCCAGGCACACAGTGCAAGCTGTCAGTGTATTTACCATTCTGGGGTCTGGAGGAGAGTGGCCCTCTTCTCACAGCTCCATAAGGTGGTGCCGAGTAGGGACTCTGTGTGGGGGCTCTGACCCCACATATCCCTTCTACACTGCTCTAACAGAGGTTCTTCATGAAGGCCCCACCCCTGCAGCAAACTTCTGCCTGGGCATCCAGGTGTTTCCATACATCTTCTGAAATCTCGGCAGAGGTTCCCAAATCCCAATTCTACGCACTTGAAGGCACAACACCACAGGGAAGCTGACAATGCTTGGGGCTTGCACCCTCTGAAGGCACAGCCCAAGCTCTATGTTGGCCACTTTCAGCCATGGCCAGAGTGGCTGGGTTGCAGGGCACCAAGTCCCTAGGCTGCACACAGCATGGGGATCCTGGTCCCGGCCCAAGAAACCACTTTTTCTGCCTAGGTCTCAGGTGTGTGTTGGGAGGGCTGCTGTGAAGATTTCTGACATGCCCTGGAAACATTTTCCCCATGATCCTGGGGATAAACATTTGGGCTCCTTGTTACTTACGCAAATTTCCGTGGCTGGCTTGAATTTCTCCTTAGAAAATGGGATTTTCTGTCCTATCACATTGTCAGGCTGCAAATTTTCTGAACTTAATGCTCTGCTTCCCTTATAAAACTGAATACCTTTAACAGCACCCAAGTCACATCTTGAATGCTTTGCTGCTTAGAAATTTCTTCTGCCAGATGCCCTAAATCATCTCTCTGAAGTTCAAAATTCCACAAATCTCTAGGGCAGGGGCAAAATGCTGCCAGTCTCTTTGCTAAAACATAACAAGAGTCACCTTTGCTCCAGTTCCCAGAAATTTCCTCATTTTCATCTGAGACCACCTCAGCCTGGGCTTTATTGTCCATATCACTATCAACCTTTTGGCCAAAGCCATTTAATGAGTCTCTAGGAAGTTCCAAACTTTCCCACGTCTTGTCTTCTTCTGAGCCCTCCGAACTGTTCCAATCCCTGCTTGTTACCCAGTTCCAAAGTCACTTCCATATTTTGGGGTATCTATAGCAGCAGCCCACTCTACTGGAGGCATCATGCTACCTGACTTCAAACTATACTACAAGGCTATAATAACCAAAACAAACCAAAACAGTGTGGTACTAGTACCAAAACAGACATATAGACCAAGGGAACAGAAAAGAGACCTCAGAAATAACATCATACATTTGCAACCATCTGATCTTCGACAAACCTGACAAAAGCAAGCAATGGTGAAAGGATTTCCTATTCAGTAAATGGTGCTGGGAAAACTGGCTAGTCATATGCAGAAAACTGAAACTGGACCCCTTCCTTATACCTTATACAAAAATTAACTCGAGATGAATTAAAAATTGTAATGTAAAACCCCAAACCATAAAAATCCTAGAAGAAAACCTAGGCAATACCATTTAGCACACAGGCACGGGCAAAGACTTTATGACAAAAATGCCAAAAGCAATTGCAACAAAAGGCAAAATTGACAAATGAGATCTAATTAAACTAAAGAGCTTCTGCACAGCAAAAGAATCTATAGTTAGAGTGAACAGGCAACCTACAGCGTGGGGAAAAAAAATTTTGCAATCTACCCAGGTGAAAAAGTTCTTATATCCAGAATCTATAAGGAACTTAAAAAAATGTACAAGAAAAAAAAAAAACATCAAAAAGTGGGCAAAGGATATAAACAGACACTTCTCAAAAGAAGACATTTATGCGGCCAAAAAACATATGAAAAAAAGCTCAACATCACTGATCATTAGAGAAATGGAAATAAAACCACAATGAGATACCATCACACTCCAGTCAGAATAGCAATCACTAAAAAGGCCAGAAAAATATAGATGCTGGTGAGGCTGTGGAGAAATAGGAATGCTTTTACACTGTTGGTGGGAGTATAAATTAGTTCAAACATTTGGAAGGCAGTGTGGTGATTCCTCAAGGATCTAGAACCAGAAGTACCATTTGACCCAGCAATCCTGTTACTGGCTATATACCCAAAGAATTATGAATCATTCTACCATAAAGATACATGGACACATATGTTTATTGCAGCACTCTTCACAATAGCAAAGACTTGGAATGAACCCAAATGCCCATCAATGATAGACTGGATAAAGCAAATATGGCACATACACCCCATGGAATACTATGCAGCCTTAAAAAAGGATGAGTTCATGTCCTCTGCAGGGACACGGATGAAGCTGGAAACCATAATTCTCAGCAAACTAACACAGGGACAGAAAACCGAACACCACATGTTCTCACTCATAAGTAGGAGTTGAACAATGAGAACACATGGACACAGGGAGGGGAACATCACACATTGGGGCCTGTTGGGGGCTGGGGGGCGAGTGCAGGGAACTTAGATGACTGATTAATAGGTGCAGCAAACCACCATAGCACACGTATATCTATGTAGTAAACCTGCATATTCTGCACATGTATCCTGAAACTTAAAGTAAAATGAAAAATAAAAAGTTTTTCAGGAAATTATAGATTATTGCTTGATAACTCTAGGGATGGCAAGTTTTACTATGTAAATTTCCTGATAAAATTTCATGATAAATATATATGATATGCATATGAGAAAAATATGATGCATTACACAGGCACATCAAAGCGGTAGTTACAATAATGTGTTATAAAACAGTGATTATGAACACAACACGGAAGTTTAATAGCTTGGCTTAAAAATTCAGCTTCACCACATTTTATCCATGTGGCTTTGTTGAAAGTTTTCTGAGCTTCAGTTTTCCTACCTTTATAATGGAGATAATCATAGCACTGATTCATTATCTATTAATATAATTACTAACTTAGCATCTTGAAAATGATATTGAAACTGACTCTCTCACTCCTGCTAAATAATTCAAATACAGATTTATTTTGAATTTTCAGAGTTATGTCTAGTGGGAAAATTCAGTAGAGAAAAGTACAAAATCAGATATAAATAAAATATTAACTCACATATTTTCCCTCTGGAGTTGTACTTTTCCAGATATATGTCATATTTTTTTTTTCTCAATCCTGTGTGCCTAATGAATTTCTGGCTGTATTTTGCTCTTGCTTGGTACCTACATGTTTCAAGTTTTTGTCTCCTTACTTATTTGACTTGACAGAAAGCTACAGTGTATCCCCTGCATAGTACCCGTGGGTGCAGCCTCTCCCTTAACACTTCCCTTGATGCCCTTCTTTAGCTAGGGCAAGACTAAAGCACATTTCCAAGATTGCACTTCATTTAAAAAAAAAATACAGGGCATTGCATTTGAGCATAAGACAACAAGATATTCTCCCAAATTTCTTCTTCCTACTTGTCAAAAATGACAAGAGAAAGAAATTCCACAGAGGATTTTAAAAATAGGCCTCTACTTCAAACCCCAGGTTGAATTTTGCCTTATGTTATTTTAAATCACATGACTCTAAGGCCTAACGCCACCTAGTGTCAACTTTTAATTCTATTCAAATAAGGCATGTCCTGTTTGTTGTGAGATGGTAAAAGTGTGTTCACTTTATTATTATTTTTAAACCATAAATATCCTATTTATATGTGAGACATAGGTATGATCCCTGACTTACAATGCTTCAACTTAACAATTTTCCAATTTGATGATGGTGTGAAATGATATACATTCAGTAAAGACTTTACTTTGAATTTTGAAT
This sequence comes from Homo sapiens, assembly GCF_000001405.40. Lineage (NCBI taxonomy): Eukaryota > Metazoa > Chordata > Mammalia > Primates > Hominidae > Homo > Homo sapiens. Next base: position 54,985,704 of record NC_000010.11, on the reverse strand, counting down.
TTTCTCTATTCCCAGGCTAGCAATATGCTGTGCAATAGTCACTTTTGATGCTAGGTAGTAGTAGTTAGCCACAGCTTCTAGTCAGTCACCTGATCATCAGGGTAAATAATCAGTACTCTATGGTGTAACGTGTTGCCAGATGATTTTGCCCAACTGTAGGCTAATGTAAGTATTTTGAGCACATATAACAAGGCTAGGCTAAGTTATGATGTTCATTCTCTTAGGTGTAATAAATAAATTTTCAACTTGTGGTATTTTCAATTTACAGTGGATTTATCAAGGCTCTAACCTCATTGTAAGTCAAGGAGCATCTATACTACATATTAAATACTTATGCATATGTATATATGCATACATCTGAGTATAAACACAAATATTTGTATGTGAATATATGTGTATATCAAACTTCTATCCCTTTTTATTGAGAGTCCATATCTCTTTTCAATTTCTTAAAAGTTTACTAAGATTCACAAATTGTATATAGATACCATAATATACCTAAGGCATGAAATTAGTTATTGCAAATCTAATGTTAAACATTAATTTATTAGAGTGAAGAATATAAAATTGCCCATTTTGTAGGTCAAAAAATACTCTAATATCTTCATTTTTACACGTGGTTTAGCCTAACATATAGGTCATATAATGTTGGTCAAAGCCCTGGGAGGGTGGAAAGGGTGTGATACTTTTACTTACCCATCATAAGGGTCATGGCTAATACTCCTATAACAAAAGTCAGGATAACAAGAAAAAACTCTTACAAAATTACTTAATCAAAGTTTCATGTGACAGAGAAGACTTCAGAAGAGACTGAAGGACTGGGAGACCAAAGGACTCAGGGAAAACTGTCTTTAAAAAAATTTTTTTGGAGACAAGATCTCACTCTGTGGCCCAGGCTGGACTGCAGTGATATGAATGTGGGTCACTGCAGCCTTGCTTCCTTGGTTCAAGGGATCCTTCTGCCTCGGCCTCTTGAGTAGTTGGGACTACAGGCATGTACCATGCCCAGCTAATTTTTAAATTTTTTTTGTAGAGACAGTGTCTTACGATGTTGCCCAGGCTGGTCTCAAACTCCTAGACTCAAGCAATCCTCACACCTCAGACTCTGAAAGTGCTGGGATTACAGGCATGCGCCACTGTGCCCAGCCAAAAGCTGTCTACTTTTATGCTTAAGTTCAATTAAGAATGGACAGCCATGTAGAAAATGTGATTGGACTAAGGATATGCTGATGGTAACAGACTGAGAAACACAGCAAGGCCTGTCTGTTCAGATTCTTGGCTTCTCTGTGTTGCATTTCTTCCTCACAGGCATGGGGCAGGATCTCTCTGTAATGAGAGTCTCCAAGGGAAAAAGGAGAAGGGAGAGAGTGACTACTGTAAGTTACCGTTATGACTTGCGTGGGGAGAGGAGCTCTAGCTTCAACCTTCCTTGGGGAAGGTAAATTTTGGTTTCCCTCACTTGTGGGGAGAAGAGGAAAACAGGGGTAGAGACAAGAGGGCAGGAGAAGATCAGAGGGACCTTGTTTCTCAGGCCTTTCAAATCTTCAGGTTAAAGTATTCAGCATGCCAAGCCACCATACTTTGGGGTGTCAGCTTCTGAGCCCTGACAGTCCCTTCATAGGAATTGACCTCTAGTCATGATCTAAAGCCTTTACTTTTAATTCCCTTCTTATAATTCTCTACTTACACTTTCTAGGTGCCTCCTCCTCATTTCCTCAATCCTTGGAATTCCAGAAATCCATATATATAGCGTTTATGCTACTTTCTAACTTTCTAATGTGGAGTACTTGAATCACTTTCTATCAATTGTGTTATCTCTGTTTTTACAGGGAATGGGGAGGAGGTACAGAGTGGAAGAGACATTTTGGGAGACAGGGAATAAACTCACTTTTTAATCATTTGTAGCCAAACAGAGCCCCAAGGAATTTGATCCCACCAAAAGAAATAGCTTCTTTCTATCTGGGATCAGCTCAGATGATCAACACCAGCCATCATTAATAGTACTTTTCCCAATTACTTTAGGATTAAGAATCATACTAACATGAACTGCTAAGGTTATAATAACATTTAGTGAGATGAACAATAGGTTCAGACTCTTACTGAGAAACTTTGGGATAGAAATTAAATTAATCAATAGTGACCCTGGGTTACTATTTCTTCTCAGGCCTGGTTATTCCAAGAACACTTAGTTGTCTCCAGGACAAATAACTTGCTAAGCTCTATTTCCTCTGGTCTTATGTAGTACAAAATTGTGAGTCACTCACCATGCATGATGTCAGCATACATTTACTGTCAGCATACATTTAAAATTTTTTTTCATGACAAGGTTTACACACTATTGGTCAATTTTTATATTATTTTGACCTTCACATAGAACTGAACCATCATATTGTTCAGAAATAACAAGATCAGCCTAAGAACTACCTGATTGTTCTCTTAGTCTTATTTGATTATGCTAAGGTGACAAGTACCTAAAGTAACAGTTGAGATAAAATTAGCTTATAATTTCCAAAGGATTTGATGGATAAATCAAGTATTAATATTTATAATATTTAAATTAGTTTTAACATGTATTTGAATAGGCTTTTCATTGGTAGTGTTTGTGTTTCCTAATAAACTTGATATATGCCTACTCAGAGAAGCTTAAATCATTCCTTGATTGTTCAGAACATAACTTGTAAAATCAGACTGAATGTTGTAAGTAGGCTCTACATTATGTTAGCTCTATTTTGGGGGGTCAAATTACTCAAGCTGTTGGAGTCTCTGTTTATATGCCTGTAACACAGGGATAGAATCTAGCTCCAGGGGTTTTGTGAAGATTGGGTTTGATAATAAATGCCAATGTGTAGTACATAATTATTAATATTTGCTAGATATTATCAATATAATGCTTACATTTTGAGGGTAAAAATCAGCAGTAAAATTGCTAGGTTAACAAAGAAGCAATGCAAAACTTATGCAGTTAATACTAGGTTGTTGCTGAAAAATTTTTAGAAAGTAGATTTTATAAGATTTTACTAATGCCCAAAATCTTCACTGTAACAACCATATTGTTGGACTCTTTTTGTGTAATGTATTTATCATTATCCTTTAGCATCTCATCAAAGCCCTAGGATAGTTCATACATATTTGCAAGAGGTGAACCTGAATTTTAATCATCATCAGATTATGAGTAGTAAATTGTGTTTCTCTCTTCTAAAATATATTTCCTATAATTCCTACCTATGCAAATAATATTTCTTCTTCAAGTTTTATCTCAAGTGAATAATGTTCTGATGCTTGCTTGATTTACAAACTTGATATAGATAAACTTTGACTCTTTTTGAAGCTATATAGTTTTGGGTCTAGGCTACTCATATGTTAGGTTTAATTATAATTTTCTACATACTGTTTAGTTTATCTTCACTGTTTTTCAAGTACCCTAACCATAGGATTGTGTCTATATTGCCTCTAGCATTTGAAATATAATATTGAAGACAAGAGGAGTTCAATAATGTTCAAGATTATTATCATCACTTTACGTCTCTTTATTGAAAGATACCCTATGCATAATTGCTGTTTATTTATAACAGCTTTGTTTTTTGAACGGCTCTGAAGTAAGGATAAGATCATCTGTAAATCCAACGTTCTAGGCAGGCCAGGTGCAGTGGCTCACTCCTGTAATCCTAGCAGTTTGGGAGGCTAAGACATGAGGATTACTTGAGCCTAGAAGTTTGAGAAGAGCCTAATCAACAAAGTGAAGTCTCTTCTATAAAGAAAAAAAAAAAAGGAAAACAAAATGTGCACCAAGAGTTCTAGCTACTCAGGAGGCTGTGGTGGGAGGATTGCTTGAGCCTGGGAGTTCAAGGTTGCAGTGAGCTATGATTGGGCCACTGCACTGCAACCTGGGCAGCAGAATGAGACCTTGTCTCAAAATTAATTAATTAAAGGAGGTGGGGGGTTCCAGGAAAAATAAGTAAACATGTAAACAAACAAACTCTGAAGCTTGGCAGCAAATTTCATCAATATTACTTATTGTGATTCTGCAGAAAGAATGGAGAATATATTGACACAAGAAATATTCCTTACGATTAGGCCAAGTTTTCAAAGAAAAAAACCCTTTTGTTTAGTTTAATTTTAAATCTCTTCGTTATTATCTCTTGGCAATCTGGTTTGATATGGAGTAAGCCCTACCATTTAGAAATTTTCATCAGTCGTGTTTTGGCAGGTGCTGACTTCTGTGTTAACTAACCAGTAGTTATATCATAGTTGATTTCAGGATACAAAAATAGCCAATAATACCTCCTTATAGAAGTATACAAGATAAAAAATTGTATTCATCAGAATTTTCCAGGGAGTAGGGTAGTGAGCAAGATATGTGAAGGTAGGGATTTAGACTCATGATAGTGATGGAATTTGGTATGGCAAGGACAAAAGGATTTTAATTGGTGAACAACACATCCATGGGGTTTACATTGACGAGAGAAGGGGAGGAAGCTGGAGATTTCACCTACTGCTATGAAATGTATTGGGATGGTGAAATGTATCTAAAGAAGATTCGTTTTGAGTTTTTGTTTGTTGCAGCATTCCTTTGTGTTCCCCATTGAGGAGAATCAAAATGTAGATATATTTTTCTTCATGGATTTTGGATACAATTTGAAAGTATTAAATGCTTTTTGCCCATTTTTTTTTAACTTTGATGGATGGAAACACATTTCAAAGTGGCCCAAATGAACTTGGGTTACAACATAAGATGTACGTTTCATTTTATACATGTTTTAAAGAAAGTTCACTTTCTTTCTGTGAGCAATTTTCTATGAAAATCAGGTAGATTTTTTCACTCATTTCTATATTCAATTTCTCTACTCTGAAAAAATGAACTCAAGAGCCTTATGGTATGCCACGGTACAATTTTAATATCAATAAATCGTCTATTAAATTACCTAATAGAAAAATACACCTAAATTTGAAAAAAATCAATTTAAATTATGAATGAATTTGATTGAAAAGTGTAACATAAAGAAAAGTAGAGAATCAAACAAAAGAAAATACTCAGAAAGTAAAAGACATAATGAGACTAATTTGTGAATTTGATAATGTTTATAGTGTATCAATATACTACCACATATAGTAGGTCAAAATGAGAGTTAAAAATCTAGGGTGTATAGTTAATTATCCAGATAGGTTGAGAAAAATGTGCAGCCTAAATATGTTACTAAATGCAGAATACTTGAAAAAGAGAGGAAAATGTAGAAAACAGAAAATAATTTTCTGTTTAGGGGTAATGACTTAATGGTAATTCAATAAAATAAGAAATATAATAAAATAAGAAATGTTTTGCCTGGTGATATTTTTTAATTAAAAAAAGAGTATTTACTCTCTTTTCATTAGATGAATTGAAGATACATCAAGGAAAATTAAATATAGATATGTGTAAATGTTATACTTAGAGCACGCTAATTGGCTTTGTGAGCACATTAATCTTTCTTTTGAAATGGATTGTTTGCTGGTATTAATTATGCCTAGTATTCCATTATTGGAATGCCAAGCATGTGAAAGTTATTTATATCCTACTGCTCAAGGTCATCTCCAAGGTTTGATGGCAAAATTTCAAAAAATTGCAACCTCAGGCATAAATGGGTTAAGGTTTTAAATCTGTAATGGATGGCCACCAATCATTGCCCATTTACTGGTTAAGGAGAGCAATTGCAGATGTTCACAAATGTTAAATATACTACAAAATATTGTCACTATTATTGAAGACACATTTATCTACATTTCATTCCTGGAACTCTGCAATTCTACAATTTTATATATCATTAACCAAAATTTATCTTAGACAAGTATTGCATTAAAAAGTATTTAAAATCTTTTTATGTTACAATATGTTACACATATTGTATGTTACACGTAGAATATGGCCAAATAATATTTAGCCATAAAAGATTTTGTTCTTTTTTATGGCTAAATAATATTTCATTGTATATATGTATCACATTTTCTTTATCCATTTTTCTGTTGATAAAAATAAAATTCTGGTTTTTTTTTTTTTTTTTTGAGACACAGTCTCACTCTGTCACCCAGGCTGGAGTACAGTGGCACAATCTTAGCTCACTGCAACCTCTGCCTCTTGGGTTCAAACGATTCTCCTGCCTCAGTCTCCCTAGTAGTTGGGACTACAGGCACGTATCACCACGTCTGGCTAATTTTTGTATATTTAGAAGAGATGGGGCTTTGCTGTGTTGGCCAGGCTGGTCTTGAACTCCTGACGTCAGGTGATTTGCCTACCTTGGGCTCCCAAAGTGCTGGGATTACAGGTGTGAGCCACCTCACCTGGCAGGAAAATAAAATTCTTTTGGATCCTAGTCTCCCTCTTGAAGCCACAGAAACAAGTCCAGCTTCTTTTCACAAGAGAACTATTCAAATAATTTGAAGTCAATTACCATGAACTTCAGTAATTTCTTCTATAAACTTTTATTTCTATTTCAACTATCCATTCCTCATATAGCATTGTTATCACCATAACAAATCATTTCTGAATGGTCATTTTACCTTTAAAAAATGCAGTGTCTTGCTTGAGAGTATTAGCTTTGGAGCCATATCACTCTGTTCTTTACTACATATGTGACCTTGGGCAATTATTTAATCTCTCTGCACCTGTTTCTTCACCTATAAAATTGATAAATAATATTTACATCACAAGATTGTAGCTAAAATTAAATAAATTCATTTTATTATAGCACTTATAGAGGAAGGAAAGTAATTTTCTTTTAACTCATTCTGAATTCTTAGCTGGGGTGCCCTATGACAAAAGACAGACTAATAAGAGAAATATGAGCAAAATTTTACTAACATGTATACCTCATGTAGATGTGGAAGAAATGTAGAAGAATTAGTAAATCTTAAAGAGATAGCTTTGAACTCAGGCTTAAATAGCATCTCAAATAAAACAAAGTAACAGGAATGTTGAGGGGGGCCAATTATGGGAAGATGACCAAAAAGCAGGTAAAAAAGGTAGAGTTTGATATGCAGATTTAAGTCAATGCCTTTTCCATTGATTACAGTATCTATTAAATCTTCTCTAGTGAGTCTTCTTGGAAAACAGAGAGATAGACCCACTTAAAAATGGACATTTTCTTCATAGATGTAAATTTCCCTACAAAAGGGTAACTTTGTTTTTAAAGCTTCTTCTGTGTCTACAGCTTCCCAACATAATCAGCTTATAATAGTTCTTATGCAAATAGGCACAATTTGGGTGGCATATTCTAATCTGTTATACACTTATACAAGTCTTGGGCATTATTGACATTATAATAATTGTAAAATTATCTCTACCCTCATTCAAAGTAGTCGTATAACATGCACGATTTTTACCAGTTATAATACATAGTCTACTCATATTGTTTTGACTATCACTAAAATTCCAAACTGAATCCCCACTACTTCACAGGTATAATTGCTAAACCCAGACTCCCTGTGTACTTATATAATTGAGGTTAGTGCTAAACTTTACCTTCTCTATATTACCTTTACTAGTTTCAATTTATTGTTTCACCTTAGCCAGTTTGGCTGTCATAACATTATTATTTCATGCATTTAGGTTTTTATAAAAATATTTTGTCATCAATATACATTCATATGTATGATTGATGTGCTTTCTCGAATTTAATTCAGGTTATAGGTAAGAAATATTAAGAACTAGGCTAAGACTATAAATTGACTAAATGCTATGAGAGGCTTTCCCAAAGAATAAAATTGTACATAATTTAGATAGTTTTCAATATTGTCCTTCTGATAATTATTCTATCTGAATGTCCTTATGTTAGTTAACATGTGCTATATGCTTACAATGTTTCTGTAAGAATTTGTCAAATATCTTTATGATAAATACAATGTTGTGAATACCAAATACAAAAGGACACTGTATTTTTGTTACCAGAAAGGGATCCTGATCCAGACCCCAAGAGAGGGTTATTGGATCTTGCACAAGAAAGAATTCAGGGAAGTCCACAGAGTAACGTGAAAGCGAGTTTATTGGAAAATAAAAAAAATGAAGGATGACTATTTCATAGGCAGAAAAGCCCTAAGGGCTGCTTATTGGGCATTTTTACTATTATTTATTCATCATATGCTAAACAAGGAGTGGATTATTCATGAGTCTTCCAGGAAAAGATTGGAGAGTTCCTGGAGCTGAGGTTTGGGGTTTCTCCCCTTTTTGGACCCCATAGTGTGACTTCTGGATATTGCCATGGCGTTTGTAAACTTTCATGGCACTGATAGGAGTGTCTTTTAGTGTACTAATGTACTATAATTACAGTATAATCAGCAGTGAGGATGATCAGAGGCCACTTTCATAGCTATCTTGGATTTGAGGGGTTTTGGCCAACTTCTTTACCATCACGTTTTATCAGCAGACCTGTATCTTATGACCTGTGTCTTATGAAACCAGTCCTACTGACCTTCTTTCTCATCTTGTAAGAATGCCTAATCTCCTATGAATGCAGCCCAGCAAGTGTCAGTCTCATTTTACCCAGACCCTATGCAAGATGGAATCCCGCTGGTGTGAAAGCCTCTGACACTTTCATCATTTTCCAATCTCTTAAATTTAAGAAATAATTGAGTTCAATCTGTTATAACTTACTCTTAAAGCAGTTGTGCAAGTTACCAGTGAATCATTGTTCTTTATGGTCATTTTAATATTATTTGAACAAATGAAACCACCTTTGAAAGATTATGACTGTGAGAAAATCTAATATTCTAACTCCACCTTTCTTCCAGCCTCACAGGCTGGCTTTCTTTATCATTCCTAGGTGTAGACCAAACTAACTAAGGGAGGAATTTAGCTTATGGTTTAACTTGGAATCAAGGATAACAGTTCCTCCCTAAAACTAATCCCCTCCTTATATGGGGGCTGAAACCACCTCTGTAAGATTAATGAAAGTAAACAAAATTAGAATTATGCAAGGAATCTAAGTTCTGCTAAGATGTAGGCAGAATTTCTACAATCCCTTACTGTTCAGGAGCCATGTGGCCAGAGGTCACAAGATTGGTGACTTCCCCAGTTGCTCCTATAGATGAGACCACTGTTGTAGAACCTAAGATTGGTCTTTTGAAATATTTTTCAGACTGACATTACCACAACTCACAACTCGTGACTCAACTGGTTCTGTGGCACCACCCAGAGGTGGAATAAGTGCATGAGGACTGTTTTCCACACCCTTAGTATTCCATCCCCAACCAATCAGCAGCACCCTTTCCCTAGTCTCCTGACAATTAGGCTATGCTTGAAAAACCCTGACATCTGAGCCTTTGGGGAGACTGATTTGAGTAAAACTCCTTCTTCTGCATGACCAGCCTACCATTAATTAAACTCTTTTTTAACTACAATACCATGGTCTCAGTGAATTGGTTTTGTCTGTGCAGCAGGCAGGAAGAAACTGTTGGACAATTAGACAATAGTTCTAGAACCAATCTTGAGATTGATTTTAAGACTATATCTGATATTTTGTTTTCTTTCTTTGAAATTAATATTTGTCATTTTCTCATCTTCTACAACTTTTACTCTAATTCCTCAAATATCAATATTAGTAATTTAGTGAACTGATGAAATTTTCTCATAATTTTGAAAAGATAATTGCTAGGCTGAGAGATTGCTCAATTCCAGGTAACCAGTTGTTTTCATACACTTTTAAAATTCCATGATACACTTAAGGATGGAAGAAATGGTTCAGGGTAAACAGAATTACCATAGACACTACACTTCAACTTAAGGACAATAAAATTTCAAAAAAAACTTGCGTTCTAAAATTCATAACTGACAGTATAACCAATTTTAGTCATTCAGGGATTCCCCAGTGTGCTAATTTACAAGTTACATAAATTTCATAGTAATTTATGATATAGCCTTATTGTTTCCTTGACACTTTCCTTTTTTCTATTCTACAGTGTTTTCCCGGCCATACTAAACTTTCAATTCAATTATCATACAAATACCGTATTATCATATGATATATCTCACTTAACTAAGAGACTTTGTGACCTTACTTTTTAGAAGTCTCTCTCTTTCTGCCTCATTTACCTTACTAACTTCTAGTTATCTTTAATGTTTATCTCAAAAGTCACCTCTCCTAGAAAGCCTTCTCTGCCACCACCACTTCTCATCACTCCATCTACCTTGTCTGTTAGTTGTTACTGCTATGAGCTCTTCTACCTCCCTACATGATTTATATATCACACACCATATTAACAGTCAGTTCACACATCTACGGTTCCGCAAAACACTAACAACAATATGGAAAGAAATATCAATAAAATATTAAGTCCTTATTATGTGCCAGCAACTCTTCTAGACTATGCATACACACTCTTTTCTTTACATCTGTATTAAAGAGTTACCTAAATTAGGTAGTTGAAACACAGAAGGTTTAAGTAACTTGTGAAAGATCACACAGGTATCAAGGAGTGACCTCAAGAATATCTGCTATAGGCACCTAATGACTACATTAATATCTTCGAAAATCTAATAGGAAAAGCATTTCTCAAATAATCAAGATATGGGATAACAGAAAGCAAATAGACCAAATGAGAATATATTGGAGATATTTCTAATTTTACACACCGAAAGCTCAGCATGTAGAAAGTGCTCAAGGTGTTCACTGATGAAATTAGTCACTTTTAGGGTGTGTCCAATAGAAAAGCTAGTAGCTGAGAAGATGTGTGTTTTGCTTGCCCTGTAGGACTTGACCTGAGGTCTTACTTTGCTATATTTATGACACTGCACACCTCTAAGTATGTTATGGAAACTTATCAATTCTTGAAATCCTCTATAAAAATAATAATTAGGATTTACCTTAAACCCAAATAAATATGCATGAAAAAGTTCTCTAAAATTCATGTCTACTTTCTATATGCATTAACAGGACAATGTTAACTTTATTATTTCTGGGACACCACATTACATGGTAAGGGCAAACTGTATCAAAGGATATGCCCTTGATGGCTGCTCAGAATTCTGAACTTATTCAACCTTTTACAACTCTGAAGGGTTTTCATGGAAATATATATTTATTTTACTGAGATCAAAAGAATCATTTCATTAAGAAGAGAAGGCCAGGGAATTTCAATGTTAAGAAAGTAAAAAGGTAAATGGAAATATTTTTTATGCATTGCCTGAATATAAAAATAATTTCCAAGTATATATGTATATTATATATCTATACATTTCTATTATATACATATATACACACACGTTCATGTATATTACATGAATTATTTGCCATTAATATATTTAAATTTTTTATGGACATAAAGTATCAACATAAATAGAGCTTTCTTAGTGAAGCATAGTATGCTAAATTATATGCATACATATATCATGTATATTACATTATTTGCCATTAATATATTTAAATTTTTTATAGACATGAAGTATCAATGTAAAAGGAGTTTTCTTAGTGGAGGATAGTATGCTCAGTTGTATAATACTTCTTTAGCTTCTTTGTGTTCACTGAGTTTTGTCAAAGACTGTTAAATTACCATATATTATCTTAATTGGAAAGACATTTGCTTTAGTCTCCTAGGCTGTGCCATTGTGCCTATATTATCTGTATGTGTGTGTGTGTGTCTGTATGTGTGTGTGTGTCTGTGTGTGTGTGTGTGTGTGTGTGTGAGAGAGAGAGAGAGAGAAGGAAGGAGAGAGAGAGAGGGCTAGTATGAGAGTCTCCAGTATAAGATCATTTAGCCTATTTGCTTTATTTCCTGATTTAGTAAATAAAGGCACAAGTAGTATACTTATCTACATTTGGGAAATTACTTTTTAATTTTAGATTTTTAGAGATATGAGTTTAATGATTAGAGATAATTCTTTTGCTCTTACAAATACATAGTGTGTGTGTGGTTGTGTATTGTGTATATGTTTACCACTATTTGGGTTATTTATTCCATGATAGAGGTTGTTTCTTTTTCCAGATCTAGCTTCAACTCCCTTAGATAATTTTAACTGTCATGATGTCAGTAAGCCTTACATTTTCTTCACATGAGACAAGGCACATGTTTCATTTAAATTAGTCCTAATTCTGTCACTTCAGTTGTCTGCTCATGTAAGCAATAATGAAGCTTGATCAGTCACCCTTGTTTTCTACACTAGTATTGAGCCAATTCTGAAACTACTGCAAGCAGGCATGATTAGGGCATTCTAAAGTGGGAGCAAAAATAAAGATTCCAAAGCCCTTAAGAGCTAACTGCACAAAATAGTAGCAAATTACCAGTGTTGCTTCTGCAACAAGCACAGATGCAAATTAAAACACCCTTGGGTTACAAATGTGCATATTTTTATGCAACCTAAAAAATTTAATCTCTAATGGTATATATAAGGAATTAATTTGAGAGAGGTTTCAAGGAATGAAAACTGATTTTCCATATCTATAAATATAACCCACATTAAACCTAGCCTTAACATATACACTTGATCTGCACACAGCCTTTTGCATAGCAACTTCTTCTCTAAATATGTGTGTTTGTAAAGAATTATTCACAATGTAGCCACATTAACAAACCAGGTGTTTTTATTATTCTGCATTCCTTTTCCAATCCTTATTCATGTTCACACACATTTTCACATAGCATCATAGATTGATTTTTGTATTCTCTATATTTTTACTTTATTAATCATAACCATTTCCATGTGGCCACAAAGCATTCATCATTATAATTTTAATAATTTAATAATATTATATCATTGTTATTCTTGTAAGTTTAACTTATCACTGTTATTAAATATTTCATAATAATACCTCATTCTTTTTTATAAAATAATTCTAAGGAGTGTATTTGCTAGGTAAAAATCTCTGAGTATTCTTTTTTTTTTTTTTTTTTTTTTGAGATGGAGTCTCACTCTGTTGCCTAGGCTGGAGTGCAGTGGCGCGATGTCAGCTCACTGCAACCTCCGTCTCCTGGGTTCAAGTGATTCTCCTGCCTCAGCCTCCCAAGTAGCTGGGACTACAGGCACGTGCCACCACGCCTGGCTAATTTTTTGTATTTTTAGTGGAGACAGGGTTTCACCATGTTACCCAGGATGGTTTCGATCTCCTGACCTCGTGATATGCCTGCCTTGGCCTCCCAAAAGTGCTGGGATTACAGGCGTGAGCCACCACGTATGGCCTGAATTTTTCTTTTTTTAATCTTTTTGAGACAAAGTCTTGCTCTTGTCCCCCAGTCTGGAGTGCAATAACGCGATCTCAGCTCACTACAACCTCCGCCTCCCAGGTTCAAGCGATTCTCCTGCCTAAGTCTCCTGAGTAGCTGAGCTTATAGGTGCCTATCACCATGCCTGGCTAATTTTCATATTTTTAGTAGAGATGGGGTTTCACCCTGTTGTCCAGGCTGGTCTCGAACTCCTGACCTCAGGTGATCCGCCCACCTCGGCCTCCCAAAGTGCTGGGATTACAGGCATGAGCCACCACGCCCAGCCAAGTATTCTTATAAATCATATCAAATACATATTAAAAGGGCTTTATATGCGGCATTATTGTAACTTAGATTGTCACAAAGTCATAAAAGTTTATAATTTGGTGTATCTTGATGTACTATTCCTATATTGTACCTTACACAGAGCTTTTCCCTTTTTGAAGCCCCGTGGGAAGTAGATGGGAGAGTGGTTCTAACAGTCTACGGCTAAAGCAATTTCTCAGAATGCCTATCAAGTTTTCCTTCTTGATTGTGTTTGTATCCGTAGTTAATGACATCAGGGAATCGACAGTGTCCTGCCTGGGGAAGGTGGGGTATAATTAACTCTACAGGTATACCAAATGTAGATATAGAAAGTGTTAACATTTTCTTAATTACTCTAAACCAGAGAACTTAATGACAAATTATATTTAGAAATCTATACTAAACTGAAAACTTGAGTTTATATATACGTATGGGAATATTTAGTTCTTAGCCATGGCTGCCTTTACATTATACATCAATTATTTATTAAGTGTTTACTATATGCCAAATATAGTTGTAGATTCTGGTGATACGCAAATTAATTTGAAGTTTACATCTGTATTCTAGTTATTGAAGTGGGAGGAAGAGTGTCTGTGTCTTGCCAAAATACGTTTCACACTTTGTTATTAACTGATTATTCTACTGAAGATTTCATGGGAAGATATGAAAGATTTTACATTGTACTGCCATCTTTGTTTATGCTGCTACAACAAAATACCTTAGATGGGTAATTTATACAGAAGAGAAATTTATTTCTTACTGTTCTGGAGACTGGAAGCTGAAATTAGGGTGCTAGCAGGCTTGTTGTCCAGTAAGGGCCCAGGCTGTACTTTCAAGATGGCATTTTTTTGACATGTCCCTGCAGGGAGAAATGCTGTGTTCTTACATGGTAGAAGGGATGGAAGGACAAAAGGACCCATCCAGTTCCCTCAGCCATTTCATGTGGCCCTGATCCAACCATGATGGCTTGCTCTCATAACCTAAGAACCTCCTCAAGGCCCCACCTCTTAAAACTATTGCCTTAGGAATTAAGTCTCAACATGAATTTGGGAGGGGACACAAACATTAAAACTATAACATTCCACCTCTTGACCCCCAAAATTTACATCCTTCTAATGTACAAAATACAGTCATTCCATCTCATTAACTCCAAAAGTCTTAACTCATTCCAGGTCCAACTCAAAATCCTAAAGTCTAGAGTCTCATCTAAATTAGATATGGGTTTGGCTCAAGGCACAATTCATTCTGAGGAATTTGCTCTTCTGCTGTGAACCTGTGAAATCAAACAAGTTAGGTATTTCCAAAACTCAATGGTGGAACAAACATATGATAAATATTTTTATTTCAAAAGGAAGAATTAGTAATAGAGAAAGCAGTAACAGGTCCCAAGGAAGTCTAAAACCCCACAAGGAAAACAACTTTAAATCTTGAGGCCTGTGAATAATTTTTGAGACAAATCAGAGTGACTAAGTTACTAACAGGCAGGTAGCAAAGGTAGTGTGGATACTGTGTAGAAAGTGATGATTCCATCCAGGGTAGGATGGAACATGGAGCAGGATGGCAAGAGATTTTATTATGCTACTCACAATGGTAACCAATTTAAAACTTATAGTTTTTTTAAGGGAATTTTCCATTTAATATTTCCAAACCAAAGTTAACCATGGGTAAATGAAACTGCAGAAAAAAATCTACAGATAAAAGACTACTGTACTTTGTTTCTCATTTTCACCTGAGACTTTATCAGAATTGTCTTCACATTTTCACCAATGTTCTAATCACAGCCACTTAATCTCTGGCTTTCTTTACAGCTTTCCTTTTCTTCTGAGCTCTCCCCAAGATAGCACTTTATGGTTCAACCTGTAGCTATCACCCAGTTCCAAAGCTGCTTTCATTTTTCTAGGTGTTTATTATAGAAATACCTAACTTCTTGGTACCAATTTATGTATTAGTTCATTTGTGCTGCAATAACAAAATATCAGAATCCAGGGTAATTTATATAAACAGAAATTTATTTTTCACAATTCTGGAGGCTGAACATCCAAGATAAAGGTACTAGCAGGTTCAGTGTCCAGTGAGGGCCACTGTGTACTTGCATGGCAGAAGGGACAGAAAGACAAAAGGGCCTAGCTAATTCTCTTCAGGTACTAATCCAATCCAGGAGGACAAAGCCCTCCTGGCCTAATCATCTCCTAAGGACTCATTTCTTAATAATGTTGCATTGGAGATTACATTTCAGCATGAATTTTGGAGGGACACAAGTATTCAAACCATAGGAAGGCTTGCAAAAAGACAACAAAAATTTCTTCAAATAATTGGAACATCTCTGGGGAATTTTCATTTTAAGCCAGGATAGAGTAATAGAGTCTATATTTTCCTATCTGACTGAAACAACTACAAAATGAAATGAAGTTAGTTAAAACACATTTTCATATATTGGTTATCAGAACAGTGTTCCTTTAGAGAGGAGAGACAAATGAAGTGAACACTGTGATTATGCTGGATTATAGCCTGAAGATACTTTTGAGCTACTTTTCAGAGGTAATCCAGGTGAAGCATGAAGGTATCTCTGAGTTTAGGAGGCAAAAGTAGGTGACTGGTAAGTCTAAGGCAGCTAGAATTCATATCACAGAATACTGGCGAGAAAACATCTGTACAAAGGGGCAGACCATGAGATTTGCAGAGTCTTCCTTAAGTCTGCAGTTGAATGTTGATTGGCACAGACATCTAAGGAAACTACCTGAGGCTATGGAAAGAACCTGAAAAGAACAGAGAAATCATCTCAACATTCACATAGGACTAAGAATAATTTATATTCTAACTGGCCAGGGTGGAAAATTAATTCACAGAATGGAAAAATTCTACATTGGTTGGAGTATTCAGACGGAGTCTGACTTAGTAGTGGGAAATAATTAGTCCTGCTACTGAGTTCTGCTCTTAACACAGCTTATAAATAAAAAAAGCCATACCAAAAAGGATCACACTGCTTCCAAGTAATGTGCCTCTCTCCTAGCACAACATTCAAGAATATCTGAAGAAACAGAAAGACATTTATCATGTAACCAGGTAAAATGTATAATGTCTAATATTCCAATGAAACATTACTAGGTATTTTAAAAAGCAAGAAATTGTGACCCATTAAGTAGTAAAAAAAAAAATAATAGAAACAGACCTCAGAGTTACAGATATGATAGAATTAATAGCAAGGACAATAAAATGTTATTACATTCTAAATGTACATGAAGATAAATTATGAGCATGATAAATAGAGCCATGGAATATATGAAAAAGGAATGCAATGTCTAATATGAAAAATATACTGGATAGGATTAACAGATTAACAAAAAAATAAACACGTTTGAAGAAAAGGCTAGAGATGTTGAAGATAGAACAATAAAAACTATCTGAAATGAAACACACAGAGAAAAAATAAACTAAGCCAAAATAAACAGAGCATCCATGAGCTATGGGACAATGTCAAATGGCTATGTGTGATTGATATTCTTGAAAGAGGAAGGGAAAGTATTTTATGACACAATGGCTGCAAATTTCCAGATTCGACAGACTCTACACACGGGCAGATTCAAGAAGCTCAACAAATCCCAAGCATGAGAAAAACATGAAGAAAACTTCAGTAAGACACATCATAATAAAAATTTTCAAAGCCAAAGATAAAAGTTAAAACTTAAAAGCAGTCTGAATAAAGCAGTCAAAGACAACAGCAGATGTCTCATCTGGAACAATACAAGGTAGGAGACTGCCAAGAAGCATTTTTAGAATCCTGAAAAGAAAAAAAAAATGTCAATCTATAAACCATAGTCTGTAAAAATATCTTTCAAAAATGAAGGTGAATACCAAGACAAATAGATTGTAATAAAAGGATATGAAATTATATACCATGTTAACAATAATGAAACAACATCTGTTAGAACTGCAGGGAAACAATGACAAAGCCAAATTTTGCATTGAACATTTCTACTCCTGTCTCTTACTAATTGATATAATAAGTAGACAGTGGGATGCTGGTGGAAATAATATGCCACGTTGGAATACAGATTAGCAGTTTAATGAACAGTTATGTACATATATACGTCTACCATTAAGCCCAGGCTTTCCATTCCTATATGTATGTATAAGTGTAAGAAATAATGCAAATGGTCATAAATGGTTATGTTATAGGTTGTGTTGTGACTCCCCAAAATGCGTATGTTAAAACTATAACCCCCAATACCTTAGAGTCTGACTGTATTTGGAGACAAGGTAAAATGAAGGCATTAGGGTAGATCCTACTTAAATTTGACTGTTGTGTTCTATGAGGACACTGAGCACATAGGGTGATGCCAGTGAGGTGCACACACAGAAGAAAGTCCATGTGAGGACACAGCAAAAAGATAACTGTCCCCAAGTTGAGGAAATAGGCCTCAGAAAAAATCACAACTGCTCCCACCATGGTCTTGAGCTTCTAGACTCCAGAACTGTAAGGAAATACATTTCTGTTATTCAAAGCATTCAGTCTGCAGTATTTTGTTATAGCATCCCTGGAAAACTAACACAGCTTATATAGGAAGGTTCATAACAATTTTATTTGTAATACCCAGAAAATGGAAACAACCCAAATATCTATCATCAGGTAAAGAAATACAATGGAATACTACTCAGAAGTAAAATATATGAGCTGGATATTTCTACACAAGTGTAAATTAGCCTCCCAATAATTATGTTAAGTGAAAGAAGCCAAAATATACATAATTTATACTTTTATTTATATGTAATTATAAAAAAATCAATACTGTTACATTGGCAAAAGAAAGGGAAAGAGGAATTACAAAGGAGTACAAGGAAACTTTGGAGCTGATGATTACTTCAATTACCTTGATGGTGGTGATGGTTTCATGTGTGTGTGCATGTGTGTATCTCAACACCTATCCAGTGGTACTCTTAAAATATGTGCAATTTAATACACAGTTATGCATAATGTAATGTTTCAGTCAATGACTCACCACATATATGAAGTTGATCCCATAAGATTATAGTGGAGCTCAAAAATTCCTATAGCCTAGTGACTTTGTAGCCACTGTAACATTGTAGTTTTTTTATACATTTAGTGTAGACTAAATATACAGCATTTATAAAGTCTAAAGCTGAGTAATAGTGATGTCCTAGGCCTTCACATTCACTCATCACTCACAGACTCATCCAAAGTAACACCAGTCCTGCAGCCTGCACTCATGGTAATTGCCCTATACAGGTGTACCATTTTTTATCTTTCATAGTGAATTTTTACTGGACCTTTTCTATGTTTAGATATTTTTAGATACACAACTACTTACTGTATTAGTTCATTTTCATGCTGCTGATAAAGATATACCTGAGGCTGGGTAATTTATAAAGAAAACACAGGTAACATGGACTCACAGTTCCACGTGGCTGGGAAGGCCTCACAATCATGGTGGAAGATGAAAGGCATGTCTTTCATGGCAGCAGGAAAGAGAATGAAAGCCAAGTGAAAGGGGAAACCACTTATAAAAACATCAGATCTCATGAGACTTATTCACTACCATGAGAACAGTATGGGAGAAACTGCCCCCATGATTCAATGATCTCCCACTGTGCCTCTCCCACAACAAGTGGGAATTATGGGAGCTGTAATTCAAGATGAGATTTGGGTGGGTACACAGCCAAACCATTATTACTTACCATTTTGTTATAATTGCCTATAGTATTCAGTAGAGTAACATACTGTATAAGTTGGTAGCCTAGAAGCAATAGGCTATACCATGTAACCTAGATATGCAGTAGGATATACCATCTAGGTTTATGTAAGTGCATTCTAGGATGTTCAGTGAACAAATCACCTAACCATACGTTTCTCAGAATATATCCCCATGTTTAAGGAGTGCATGACTCTATGTCAATTATGGCTTGATAAAGCTATAAAAATAAAATAAAATAAATAAACAAAAACAGAAACTAGCTATTCTTTCCAGATTTTTTTTACCTTGCTGCTATCTTTTCTCCCTACCATGCTGAAAACAATATTTTTTTAAAAAAATTACTTAGTAATCCAGCTTCTGTTCTTAGCCTGCATTCTCAATTCAGCAAAACTGAAGTCTAAGTAGTTACTTGAATGCTGTTGACCATGTTCCTATAGAATATTCTGTATGATTAGTGATTTATATTTCAGTTTTACTTGTTCCCATTTAATACTAATATATATGATATATTTATGTGTGTACAATAAATGAATATCTAATATGCATTTATTATATAAGGTCTATTATATAATTATGTATTATATAATATGTGCTGCATATATAATATACACTTACATAATATATTATATGTGTGCATATATATGAGTGTGTGGGTATCTATGTGATATTAATGATTTTGGTATTGTTTTTCATGAGTAAACTACATGAAGAGTTAAGCTATGTGTTTTCATATTAATTAGTTTATTTTATTTTAGATTCACAGAAAAGGTTGTTTTTAATCAGGATTACCCCAGTGAGGAAATGTTTCAAATTAAATGTGGTTTTCTTATGAAAAAAAATTAATGTGGCTTTTCAAAGACATAGCAAGCTAATCCACATATACCCAACATATATATATATATATATATATATATATATGAAGCAAAGTTTCACAAAACCATACTATGCATATTAGTCCATTTTCATACTGTTATGAAGAAACCACTAAGACTGAGTAATTTATAAACAGTTTTAATGGATTCACAGTTTCACATGGCTGTAGAGGCCTCACAATCATGGCAGAAGGTCAAGGAGGAGCAAAGACGCGTCTTACATGGAAGCAGGCAGAAGAATGTGTGCAGGAAAACTGCCCTTTATAAAACCATCAGATCTCATGAGACTTATTCACTGTCATGAGAATAGCGTGGGGAAAATCCACCCCCATGATTCAGTTACCTCCCACTGGTTCCTTCCCATGACACTTGTGGATAATGGGAGCTACAATTCAAGATGAGATTTGGGTGGGGCCACAACCAAACCATGCCACTATGTGAGATACATATTGGTAATTATACTACCTTACCTTCTACCTTACTTGCAAAATATTGTATTTTGTTCAAAAAGCAGTAACTTCATTCCTTGCCCATGAATGGGTCAGAACTTACAGTGATTATGCTTAGATTAATATGTACATACTTAATATGCAGCTTATAGCTAATATTCTCTTGTGTCAGATCTCTAGTAAAATGTAATTTATCAAATATATTTAAAATGGTACTTCAAGTATTCTACAAATTAACAAAACCTTTCCTATGTGTTTGCAAAAGCTACAGAAGTTGTAACACATTATCTCAGAGTTGGCTGCTCTTTCTGACTGCTGAGAATACATTATCATTCATTAGTGCCTTCCTAGTGGTCTCTGAGGCAGTTATACCTTTTTCCACCTTGTGGTTCAGGGGAATTGTAATTAAAAGCTTTATTGCCTTTCAGAACTTGACCTCTACATAAAAATAATGTAATTTTAAGCCCCAGGGAAAATGGCCTCTTACTTCCTAGAGTTCCCTTGCAAACGCTATCAGTGATATTATTAACATAATTTTGTCTTCTAAATGTTTTAAGGATCTTATAGGTTTTTGAATATTCACAGTGTGATAGATGGAAAGGGAACAGGTTGTCTTCATATCTGGATCTTGTTGGGGAAACAATGGGACCACACACTTTATACAATTTTGAGAATATGTACTCCAGTAATGAGCACATGAGATCAGAGGGATCACAGAAAAACCATATTTTTCCAGGCTGATACAGTTTCCTCCTACAAAATTGGCAGGAAATATTCTTATAATAGGAGAGTAAGGATAATTATATGAAAAGTGATTAAAGTCACTGCTACTTTCTAAGTGTTTGGGGACTTAGGGTCAAAAATGTACTTACATTCCAAAATATTTGCCAGTTCTTCTGGCAATGTTTAGTCCTGGTATTGAAACTAGCCCAATTGCCCCACCGAACTAATGTTTATGGTTTCTTTTGAATAAACATAGAAATTGACTCAGCCAGCCTTAAAACTTGAAAAAGTTCCATTTGTCTTATCTAAGTTCTTTTCTTAGGAAACCAACCGTCAGGGCTTCCAGATAGTACCAAGAAAATGAAACTGACCAGATCACCATATCTGAACAATGAGACACAAGACGCCTCACTAGTCTTGATGGCCTAACTGACCACCTGCTTCCTGTTGCCAACTCCTCTTCCTTACCTGTCCCTAATTCTTTTTTCCCCACATGTAGTTACATTCCTTCCCTAGTTTTAGCCTCTTCAGGAGATGGATTTGAGATTGACCTCCCATCACCATTGTCTCAGCTGTAGCATCCAAGTAAAGATTTCTTCCCTGGCAATTTTTGTCACAGTGATTGCCTTTCTGTTTGGTGAGAAATGGGACCTAGAACAACACCCTGGAATTGTATTGGGGCATTTGATTTTGCAAACACATTAATGAAGGACTACATCCAAAAGAATACAGTGTACAGAGATAAAGTGGTCTGTATAGGAAAATTGAAAGAGAATTAAGTTGAAAAGGGGAGTTCTAGCAAAATAACCAGGTTAGGATCTTGCAAAATGGTGGCTGGTGATAACTTTCAGTTGGAAGCTAAAGGATTTTTAAATACAGTGTTGCCTAATATTCACCTTTACATTTGTATTATGCTGCATGATGAAACAAACTTATCATCTTAACATCTTCAGTCAAGTGAATTGTTTCAGGGAAAACCCATGAACACTGGTTAATTTACACGAAGAGTTGCTACAGAAAAACAATGAAACAAAAATACGGGAGGTAAAATGTTACTGAGATGTAAAATATACAGATATTTTAGTGAGAATGTGGGATAAGGGGTTCAACCCAATCTATTTCCATTAAAATAGTAAAAAAAAAAAAACACATTTTATGTCAGTTAAGCAGATATTCTATCCTTCTTTTGCCACTGACACCTTCCAGGAAGAATTGCCTTTATTACCTACAGCCAGTGGAACTGAAGACTAGAATTATGGTAGCAGCTAAGGAAAGAAAGGATGAGAAATACTAGTTTGATTTACTGGGCCATGGGACTCACCATTTTCCTTAAATGTCAGAAAAACTATTTCATAAAGCACCTGATAATCACTGTAGAAACAACAACAAAAAACCCTTGTATTTAACTAAAACCTTCTACGTAGAGATTTATGACATGAAATTAGATGTGTTATAGTTAGATGTACTTGACCTGGAATTTAGTAGTCAAGCCTGTATCTTCTCAGATTTTCAAGTACGCATTTTTCATAAACAGAGTTCAGTTCTGTCACAGGATCCTTCAGGTGTTGCTTCACTAGCCAGAAACCTTTGTCTTTGGTGGTGCCTTCTTCCTGAGTATTTCTCATGCCTTCTGGGCTCATTCCACCCACTTGGCCCAGCAGGCTGTTCTTGGCTGGCAGTACCATCCCGGATCCCATGCCTGCTAAAGGTTAGCCAGGAGTGGAGTAGAGAGGGGTGTGTGAATGAGCAAGCAAGGAGTCCAGCCACAGTGCACAGTCAAGCAACCCAGCTGCTGTGGCAAGGCAGGCAGCTCCAGGAGCCGGCACAGGTGCCAGTTCTGTGTGAGGCCATGGCTTGACCCAATGTACAGCAAGTAGCTCCCACTGTTGTCAGCTGTGTCTAGATGAGGGGAACACTGTGGTACCCAAAATCTTGAAGATGCCAGGAACCACAGAGCCCCCAAAAGTGTCACAATATATCACAGCCCTGGTTCAGGGAGCCCCAAGGTCTGGGCTCCCAGAAGGGCACCAGCTCTTCTCTCCTTCTCATCGCCTGTTGTGTGGCAAATGGGGGGAGATATGTTTCAGCCCATTTATGTTACAGCTCTTTCAGTCCCACCACCCTGCTCTGGCCCACAGTTCCTGGGCTGGTCCAGTCCCACCACTGCTTCCCATCACGTGGGGTGGCTGCCCAGTGCCAGCAGAGAGCAGCAGGACTGTAGTGTTACAGCAGCTCTGTCTTAGGGAATACCAAGGTCTGGGCTCCCAGAAACGTCACCACTCTTCACTCCTACAGTCCAGGAGCATGTCACTGCCTGCAGCTCAACGAGCTGCCCAGGCAAGTGTTACAGCTCCTTTCACTCCCACCATTCAGTGGATCCCAAATTCTTGTCCCACATCCAGGAAGAATGAGGTTATGTGGACAACTGGAGGGTAAGCGAAGTGGAGAGGAGCTTTATTGAGTGACAGAACAGCTCTCATCAGAGAGGAGACCCAAGGTAGGTTGCTCCTATCTGTAGGCATATCATCCCAATGAGTGTAGAGGAGACCCAAAGTGGGCAACTCATATCTCCAGGCAGGTCATCCCAGTGAAAGTAGAGAAGACCCGAAGTGAGTAGTTCCTATCTGCAGACAGGTCATCCCAAAGAGTGTAGAGGAGACCCAAAGGTACCTCTTATCTGCAGGCAGGTTGTCCCAGTGAGAGTAGAGGAGACCGAAAGTGATTAGGACCTTTCTGCAGGCAGGTCATCCCAAAGAGTACAGAGGAGACCCAAAGTGGGTAGCTTCTAACTGCAGGCAGTTGTCTGGAAGATTGTAGAGGAATCCCGAAGTGGGTAGCTCCTTCCAGCAGGCAGGTCACCCTGAAGAATGTCTGAGTCTGGCTGGGGTTTTTATGGTCTCAGAAGGGAGGAAGTGCATGCTGATTGGTCCATGGGCAGCCATGGGTGGGCCTGGAAAAATCAGCATAAGTTCCCACTCCAGAACTGGTAGCCTAGCCCCTAGGCCTCAAGCCATTCCTGGCTTGAAGGTGGGGCTTCACTGAAAACCTGCCTATTCCCACCTAAAAACCTGCCTCTCGCCACCATCAACATGCCATCCATAGCACCCAGGATGTTCATGTGGAGGGGTTCCTGCAGGCTGGTACTGAGTCACCCTCAGTCCCCAGCCTCCCTCCCACACTCGTCAGCACCCAAAGTCTGGAGGGTGCCATGGTGGCAGGGGGCTAGAATGTCAGTGCTGCCTGGAGTGTGTGCACAACTGGCCAGGTCACAGCAGCACCCTGGCTCAGCCACAAATTTGCTCCACACTGGAGCGGGCACAAGGGAGCATGCACCCCTGTCTGCTCCTCCAACACTGCAGCTGGCATCACTGTAGTGGCTGCTCCAGACGGGCAGTCACAACCATCAATTTGATATATATTTTTCCTGCAGTGTTCTAAATACTTTTATTAAATTCTTTCTTATTGTTATTGCCTTTGCATTGATTTGTTTTAAGCACAACATAGCATCAGAATAGGCCTGTTTTTAATTTCCTTGTGATTGGCCTGCAGTTTGTGTGCCTATGTGTTATAGGATGTTCTCTGATCTGTTATCAGAATCTGTTATTCTGGAATACACCAGCCTACGTTGTACACTTGTAGATATATTACTATCTTTCTGTACATGCCTAGGAAAATTGGCTCAATGTATCTTTTAAATTTTATGATAACTAAAATTATTTTAAAGGAGCAAAGCTTATAAAAAAGCATTCAGTCATCTATTTCTACTATAGGTACAAATTTCAACCATATTATTATTTTTGTAAAAGAAGCTTTTGACCTTCTTAATATTGGGTTGAGAAAAGACATTTTAAAATTGATTAATTTACTTATGGAAAACAAGGACTGGGTGTTACTTAATCTTTTTTTATTATGGACATATTGACTGAAATCAGGCCCATAAATCACATGGGAACTCAAGAAAATAGCATTGGTAGAAAGTTCAAGAGTATTAGTTTTTTTATTAGCTCTCTATGGAGGTAGTGTGCCTATAGGCACCTTTGTGAAATACTGCCCACCTCAATGAAGGGAATTTATATATCCATACACCTGAGGGAAGACTAAGCAAATTATCATAAGCACATTATTTCACAGCTTTTAGAACTTCTCATATATTTTCTTATTAGCTTATTAGAATAGACTCTTGAGGTAAGTCAGCCTGGTATTTTTATTTCTATATTATATGTAATCACACTAAGGCACAACTTGAATTATTGGGCAAAGATTGCCTAGATAGTCACTGACAGAGATGTTAGAATCTAGTGATGTTCAGGTGAGAGGTTTGATATAAAAATACAGACTAGAATGTCATTCATATTCAAGCATTCTATTAAATACAAGAATAAAGCATTTTCCAGGTGAAGTAGAATAAAAGAAGAATAAAGGTCATAAGACTGGACGCTTCAAATTTGAGTCAAAAGAAGTAAACTACAAATTTTCAAAGACCAAAAGGCTATTACTACTACTATGATCTTTCCCAGCCTTTCTGTGTGCATTGTCTCTAAACATAATTGCCTCACCTATTGGCCTGGCCAGATACATGTCAGGATGAGAGTCAACAAACTGATAGGTTATTGTTTGTTCTTCAGTCACTTTTGTTCTAAAGCAATTGCTTCACTTTATTTTTTCATGACATTTATACAAGAAAACTGGACAATTTTTCCTACAGAATAATTTTTATTTGTCTGATTATTTCCTCTTTGTGTCTTCCACACTATTCCTTTAGTTCCTCTAAATTCGATGATAGACATAAAGGCTAGGTTAGATGCTGATTAAACTTTTTGTGAGATTGTTTTAAAGATCACTTAATAATTCACATTGATGAGCACATATGATAATATCATGTTGTCTCACTATTAGTGATATTAATTTCCTTGCCTAAGAAAATGATCATAAAATGTGTTCATTTCAAAGATAAGTTTTTCTGTGGATCTTAGCAAGTAGCTTTTGCTGCTTAACCTTTTCACCTTAAAATTTTCCTGTTCCCCAAAATTAATAGATGTAACATCTATTTGTGATTCTTACTTGTACCAATTATTTGATTAGAGTTTGCAAAATGGTGGTTTTTCTAATTCAATCATTTGTTCTACATATATTACTTGGCATTCTTCTGTGTAATTTCCTCTCTCATTTGCTGGGAAAGTAATACAGGTCTTTGTAAAAAGGAATAGTTAATGCTTATATTTTTCCATTACCTATTTTTATGTTAAATTCTTAGAATAATACTAACCTCTAATGGCAGCAAATCTTGTTTTCATTTTCTTTCTCCTCCTTTCCCCCTCCTCCTTTTTCTCTTCATCCTTTTCCCCTTCTCTTCCTGCCTTCTCATGTCTTTATATGATCACTGTGAACTCCTGGATTTTCATTTACCCAGTGACTCATACTCACTTATAGTTATTTTAAGTTTTCCCATTCAACTCTTCATTGAATAAAAGGCATCCATTAGTTGACTCCTTAAAAGGTTGTATTTGTATAGTATTTCCTCACGTTACTGCTCATTTATAACTTTTTCCTAAGCTCAGCAGTATGTCTAAGGTATGAACTATTCTGAGTCAGTTTTACAAAGAACATAGGTGTCATTTTAATATGCATGTTGGGGATGTCTTTTCTTTTATGAAAATTATCTAGAAGTTTTGCTTTAAGTATTCTGGTCATTTTGGAGAGTGGGGTATTTTTTTTTGACTATCCTTTTCTCTGTTTCATTTCATCTCTTTTATGCCCTATTTTCATGGTGTTGGCTTTATTCTTTCCTAGCTTCTATCATACTATTTTGTATAGTAAGTTGTACTATACTTGGCAGCTTTGTTTTTAAATTCTGAGGTGATATAATTGTTTTCTTCAGCTTCTTCAGAGTTTAGATTCCATTTCTAATCTTACTATTGTTTGTTTCTATCTTTGATATTTAAATGTTTAATTCATAACTGAAAATGCTCTTTTAATTATGTGGGAGAGTCAAGTAACAGTTCTCTTTCATTATTTTGGGTTTTATCTTTTGTCTGCCAAAAGTTTGATTCTTTTTCCTCTTCTCAAAGTGACTTTGAATGCATTTGTTTTATTAGGTTATGTTTGCTTGTGTTTGTTTTTTCCTTGAATTTCATGGGATACCATGGTGACGTAGGTAAGACAAAACCAATTTTCTCTTTATCCTTCATACTTCTTATCTGAGATGAACCCTTGTAACAAAAGACAAATTACCAAGAGAAAAAAAAGAGACAAATTTACTACCCTGTGTACTTCACATATACATGGAAGATACCAAAGAAATGAATAATTCTAAAAGAGGTGGTTTTGAATTTTAGCTTATATAGCATCTTCAACAAAAAACGGTAAAGTTTTAGAGAAGTGATAAGACAAATTAAAAGAACTTTGAATCTCTAGGGACAGCAAATTTGAGAATAGGAGTTAGCAAAGTTTGCTAATGTAGATTCCTTTGGTCTCTAATTGAAAGGGTCTAAAGTTGTCTTCAGTGGGTCAACCTTTTTTCTTCCTGGTAGAGAGGTAAGGAGGCATCCTTTTGCTTTCGTAAATTTATGTCCTGCTTTTAGGCAAACAGGGAGAAGGCAGAGAGCTTTCCATGTGTTTAATTGTCATTTTCCTTTAATTCATAATAATTCTTATGCTAAAGTGGCATATTTTGGGATGTCATATTCTGATCTCCTATATCAATTATAAGTTTCACCTTTTAACTGCACAAGCTTAAAATGGCTTCTGATAATTGGATACGTTGGAGATGTAAATAATTCAAATACATTCCTTCATTTTGATCATTGTATTTTCTGGCATTTTCCTTCCTGCTATGGAGAGATCTACCACCCCAGTACCATTCTGCTTGATCTCTGTATTATAGTTACGGTATTTCTTTCCTGCTCCTTGAGAAATGTGTATTGCAATTACTGATGCTACATTCAGGGATTTTTCTTATTTATTTTCCTTAAAATGCTACTCAGCCATGTATTCACTGCTCTAAACCTGTTCTGTTTGAAAGTGGAGGAAAAAAACCTTTTATCCTACCACACACACTTCTTTGTAATGCTGTCTTTCATATTGAACTTAAGAAAAAGTTCAAGCATTTTGCTCTCCAAATCTCAAATAAACTGAATGTTATATGACTACCACACTTTCAATTTCTGCTTGCATTATCCTCAGAAGGATTCTCCTAACCTCCTTTCTTTACTACTGATTTTTTTTTGCCCAAATTATTCTCATCCCATTCAGTTTATTTACTCTGCCTATACAATTCATATACTTTAGTTTGAAGTTTGCACTTCATTTTTATGTCTGTGAAGTAGAGAACACAAGTGTAATTATCCCCACATGATAGTTAGAAAACTGAAAGTTATAAAGTTTAAATGATTTGTTAATGATCACTGGGCCAGGAGCAGAACTGTAACACAAATAGCAGTCTTATAACTCAGTACAGGGCATTTTTTTTCTGTCATACCAAACTGCTTCATCTAATTAGCGACAGTATAACACAGTGGTTCAGCTTTGGACAGATAAAGGTTCCCTTCCTGGTTCCACCATTCACTGTTTGATTTCGAGCATATTCCATATTCAATGATATGTCAGTATCCTCATCTATGTATTGTTACAATAATATTTTCTAACAAAAGTTTTAAGTGACATAAATATTGGTTTGAACCATACAATATTTCTCAATGTCAACTATTTTTGTCCCACCAAACAGCATGTTTATATGATATATACTAAATATTCAAGGTGTGTTAAGTATTACTACTAAATAGTCCTGGATAACTGCTGAATAAAAATATAATAATTTTAACAACTTTTACCAATAATTCCATCTCTTAGATTATTGTTATGACATAGTATTAATTTTATATACCGTGATTAAATATACCCTATTCTTTGCTGTTTATGTAAGATAGTATCTTCCTTGGCAAAGTAGAACTCTTTTTTAATCTTTAGAAGGAAAATAATAATTATGAACATTCTCAGTTATTTAAAGAATATTTTATCTTAAGTGTATGTAAGTTCAATTTGCATAGTTTTGAGTTTGCACATTTGAAGGACAGTGCTATTTTTTGGATAATTTATTAATGTAAATGAATCTGCCACTCATGGAGAAAAATCATTAGTTTATATAACTCATTGTTTACCATGTAGTATATTCTCAAAATATGTGATATAATTTCAACAAACAGATTTGAAATAGACAAGTCCTGTTATGAAAAACAATTTCTAATAGTTTTTAAAATTTTATATATAATACACAATACTTATGTGGTCTAGTCACCTGTAGTAGAGAATAGAATGATACTTGTTTTTTGGCATGGCCTGTCAATCAATACTGGCACTGAGCTCATGAAAATAGCAGGTCTCAGCTCTCCAATTTGAGGAAGAAAATAATATGGATGTAATTTCATCCATAATATTTTCTGAACTTTCATACATTTCATTAAAATAATAAAGTTCAAATAATTTCAAAGTGAAATTCAGTATTTCAATACTGAAATTCAAAGTGAATTTTATAATGAAATGCTGAATTTCATTATGGCTTTGCAATTATATGTAGTGCATGTAAGTGGCTAGAGGTTTTCAGAAATCAGAGTAAATTTGTCTATTTAAGAAATTTGCTTGGATTTTTAGTCAGAGCATGTTGATAGTGTGCTGAATGTCATAAATTAATTGCGCTGCTACAAGTGTCAAATATGGGTAACTCTGCCAAGGTTACAGGTGTAGTTTCAAGATGTGTGCCTACAGAATGACAAAATCATTTTATTTGGTAATTGACCTATGAAATTATATTTTTGATTATTTACTGAAAAAATTACATACTACATAAAAAGAAGAAAATCAAATTGATTTTATGAATATTAGTACTTATTCTATAAACAGTTCAAGAATTATCTCTTTTCTCTGAACATAGCTACATTTAGAAAAGAGGGCTATGGAAGAAAATATGAAACAAACATACCTTGTCAATTGGTACTATTTTATTTAATTTTTTACTGGAAGAATGTGAACATCAATCTAAAAATATTGAAATTGTAGGTAAACAAAACAATCACCATTTGGAGAAATGCTTACAAAAACCAAAATACTTTTAAGTTTTGAGTTGTTTTTAAAATCTGAGATAAAAATTGTTTTAAAACATTGGTACAATTTACAGATGAGGTAAAAAGAAAAACAAAAGAACAAAAGTTCTTTTCCTCTTATTTCTATAAATTGTGGAGCAATATAATTATTTGATATGTTAATTGTACCTGTATGTTTTGGCCTTCAAGCTTCTAAGTAATTTGTTAAGCATTATTTTAGTCAAGGAAAACAGCTATAGTGCCAGCTTGATTTGTTTTTTCTTGCCAAGAAAGCTTCTGAATCCAATTAATGCAAAAAACAATTCACTATTGGACAATAACAAACGTAATGAATTATATTAATACTTTATCACAATTAAAAAATGACCTGAAACCAAGAATTTGTATGGTTTTTATGAACTATCTTTCATACATTTCATTAAGATAATAAGGTCCATTTGTACATATATGTATAAGACA
This sequence comes from Homo sapiens, assembly GCF_000001405.40. Classification (NCBI taxonomy): domain Eukaryota; kingdom Metazoa; phylum Chordata; class Mammalia; order Primates; family Hominidae; genus Homo; species Homo sapiens. The sequence continues at coordinate 54,954,928 of NC_000010.11, read as the reverse complement.
TATTCACAAGGCACATATATTCCTTCTTTAAATGTATATTCCTCTAAACTAGTAATTATCTATTTTGTTCTAAAGATTGTGTCAAGGAACAAAATTATTTTATGCTGATCTGTACTAATCAACTTCCTTCTTTATAGTCCCAACAAACTTTAATAAAGGGGAGAACACCTTTAAAATAAGTAACAATATTCTTCAGCAAATTATAAAATCCTACCAGAGCTAAAAATTGGTGTAAGTATTTTTGTATTAGAAAATACAAGTGTAAAGCAGATCTATTTAGACATTACCTGGAGGATTTCAGGGCAAAACATTGACTTGTAAATCAGACTTTAAGAAATGGTGTTTTGTTGGAATAACTGTAGAGGTCAGGGCATAATGGTAGATTTTGAAAATAGAGAAAGACAAGGTTCTGTCATAAAAAATTAGCAAAATTGCTAAATTTCATAGGACTGCCAAGACAATCTTTTAAGAAGAGCGTAAGAAGGGAATACGAGAAAATTACATGTAGGATAATGCTAAGATATGTTCAATAGAGATGAGAAGATGGGAAATATTAACCTGTAGGAAGATATTAGAATTTTTTTTGAGAATGGATGATACTTTATTACAAAAAGCCCAGAAGGAAAGGATGTGTTTTCCTGATAGATGAGACTCTATGCGCAATTTAATAGAGGCCTGAGTGAAACTGATAAGTTAAGCTAAAATAATTTAGGAGACAAGAGATTAAATTGCAGAGGTAAGAAAATGTCTGATAATGTGGTGCTTCAATGACATTCTATTATTTTATCCTTTAGATGATAGGACACGATTCAGAGATTTTAAACAGAAAACTAACAAGACAGTGTTAGTGCTTGTAAAACATGATATAGAAAAGATAAGATTTCCATTGATTCTTAAATATTTGGCTTCCCTCCCTAAAAGTCTGTACTGAGCATTATCTATACATGAAGAATTAACACTTAAAGTACCAGAAAAAAATCCTATCAAAATATTAAACAAAACTGAAAATATATTTTTTAAATGTATTTTAAATGCTAGAAAGAAACTTAGATAATATTTTTTAAAAAATTGTAAATAATATTTGAGGGACATAAGATAAAAATGTTTAAAATATTTCATTGTCCTTAATATACAGTTTTAATATCTTATAAGCATTGGTTTACCAGTATTAATCTCTAAATTCTAGGACATACCGATGAATATTTAAGTGGAATTTTCATAGAATATGATAATCTGACTAAAAGTTTCCTTTGTAAGAGTATGTACAAGTGCTATTAGAATAATTTTAGACTATTAGAAGTGACTTGATATATATCAAAGCATATTATGAAGCTACGTCAAAAAGACATGAATGAAAAAAATAATGCTAACCGGAGAGCCCAGGTATCAACTATAGCAATAGATTAGGTGTATTATAATGATTTCTTAAGAAGCCAAGAAAAATTGTTAGAAATTTGGAAACCGGGAAATAAATTCCTGTTCAGAAACTTGTACTCTCAACAAAATACTAGCAAATTGAATCCAACAATGTACTAAAAGTATACACTACAGCAAAGTGGGATTTATTTCATATACTCAATTCTGCATCAATATTCAAAAGCTAATTAATGTAATTCATCACATCAACAGCTATAGAAGAAAAATATATATGATTATATCAATAAATAGAGGAAAGGAATGTGACAAAATGCACCAGTTGGTCATCATGAAAATACTTAGCAAATTATGAACAAAGAGGAAAGAGGAATTCTTCAACTTAAAAAACATCTACAAAATAATAAACAAACAAATAAAAACAACTAGCGCTAACATGCTTAACGTACTTAATGGTGAGAAACTAGGTGCGTTCACATGAAGATGAAGAGCAAGGTAAGAATATCCTCTTTCAAAACTTCTACTTAACATTCTACTGGTACACTTAACTAATGAAATAAGAAATAGAAACTTTTAAAAATACAGATTGGGAAGAAAAGAATAAAACTGTCTTTGTTCACAGATGATATGATTGCCTATGTAGAAAATGTGAAAGAATCAACAAAAAACCCTTCTGAAACTATATGTGAATATAGCAAGTTTGCAAGATAAACAGTTAATTTTAAAAAGTTGGTAGGTTTCTTATGTGCCAGTAACGAAAAATTAGAATTTAAAAATAAAAACATGATGCTATTGACATAAGATCCAAGAAAATGAAATACTTGGGTAAAAAATCTAACAAAATGTGTACAATGCCTATATGAGGAAAACTACAAAATTCTGATAAAGTGCATCAGATATATCTAAATAAACGGAAAGATATTCTATGTATATTGATGAAAGACTCAATATTGTCAAGGCATCATTTCTTCCCAACTTTATAGATTCATGCAATCTCAATCAAAATCCCAAGTTATTCTGTGAATACTGACAAGCGGATTTGAAAATTTATATGGAGAGGCAAGTGATCCAGAGAGCAAACATAGTTTTGAAAGAGAAAAACAGAGTTAGAGAAACAACACAACCTGACTTCAAGGTGTATTATAAAGCTACACCAATCACGACAGTGTGATATTGGTGGAAACACACAGGCAGATCAATGAAACAGAACAGAGATCCTCGAAGTAGACCTATGCAAATAGAGATAGCTAATCTCTGACAAAGGAGCAAAAGGCAATTCGATGAAGAATAATAGCTTTTGAACAAACAGTGATGGAACTAATGAACATCCAAATATAAAATATTAATCTAGACACAGACTTTTCATGAAAATTAGTTCAAAATGGATTATAGGCCCCAATGTAAAACTTAAAACTATAACATTCCCAGATGACCATGGGTTTTACAATGGCTTTTTAGGCACAACAAATGCATGATCCATGAAAGACAAACTTGAATAGCTGAATTTTATTAAAATTAAAAACTTCTGAACTGTGCAAGATACGTTAAAAGAATGAAAAGAGAAGCCACGGATTGAGGAGGCAATTTTCAACATAATTATCTGATAGAGGTATTGGATTCCAAATATATAAATAATTATTAAGGGAAACAATAAAATAAAACAAAACAATTCCTAATGGACAAAAGATCTGACCAACCCTTTACCAAAGAAAATATGCAGATGACAATCAAGCAAATGCCTCAAAATTATATGCCATTTGGGAACTGCAAATTAAAATCTGAGATACCTCTGTTTACCTATTAGAATGGGTAAAATTCAAAAGATAATACCAAATGTCAGAGTGGATGTAAAGCAAAAGTAACATTCATTCTTTCCCGATGAGAATGCAAAATGCTATAACCGCTTTAAAAGACAGTTTGACAGTTTCTTACAAAACTAAAAACACTCTTACCATATTATTCAGCAGTCATAACTTTTCATCTTTGCCCATATGTGGTGAAAACTAATAACCACACCAAAATTCACCCACAATGTTTATAGCAACTTTATTCATAATTGTCAAAATGTAGAAGCAATCAAGATGTCCTTCTATAGGTGAGGATAAATGGTGTTATATCCATAAAATTGAATATCATTCAGTAATTTAAAAATGAGATATCAAGCCACAAAAATATATGGAGGAAACCTAAATGCATAATGCTAAGTGAGAAAAGCCAATCTAAAAATGCCACCTACTGTTTGATCCCAACTATATGAAATCCTGGGAAAGATGAAGCTATGGAGACTGTAAAACTTTCAGTGATTTCTAGAGGTTTAGAGTGCATGAGGGAGGAATGAATAGGAACACAGGGTAATTTTTCAGGCAGTGAAGCTGTTCTGTATGATATTGTACTGGTGGACACATGTCATTCTCTATTTGTCAAAACCCATAGTCTATACAACACAAAATGTGAACTCTAATGTAAAATACAAATTTTGGTTAATAAGTCAATATTGGCTCACCAATTTAAACAAATACACTACACTCATGAAAGATATTAAGAATAGGGGAACCTATATTTTGTAGGGGTGGAGGTGAGGAAATATTTGCAAACTGTATTTTTTACTTGATTTTTCTGTAAATATAAGACTTCTCCAAAATTTAAGCTATATTAATTAAATTTTCAAAAACACTAATACCAACATAATTTCCAAATAGAATACAAATATAAACAGATATAGTTTGACTATGTCCCCACCCAAAATCTTGTCTTGTATTGTAATCCCCATAATCCCCATGTATTGAGAGAGACAAGGCAGAGGTCAATGAATCATAGGAGTGGTTTCCCCCACGCTGTTCTCATGATAGTGAGTGAGTTCTCATGAGATCTAATTGTTTTATAAAGGGTAGTTCCTCCTGTGTTCATTCTTGTATTAGTCTCTTCTCACATTGCTGATAAAGACATACCCAAGACTGGGCAATTTACAAAAGAAAGAGGTTTATTGGACTTACAGTTCCACATGGCTAGGGAGGCCTCACAATCATGGCAGAAGGAAAGGAGGAGCAAGTTACATCTTACGTGGATGGCAGCAGGCAAAGTGAGAGCTTGTGCAGAGAAACTCATGATTTTAAAACCATCAGATCTTGTAAGACTCATTCACTATCATGAGAACAGCTCAGGAAAGACCCACCCCCATGACTGAATCATCTCCCACTGGGTTCCTCCCACAACACATGGGAATTATGGGAGCTACAAGATGAGATTTGGGTGGAGACACAGAGCCAAACCATTTCAATTCTGTTTACTGCTGCCTTGTGAAGAAGATGCCTTGCTTCCCCCTTTGACTTCTGTCATGATTGTAAGTTTTCCAAAGGATCCCAGCCATGCTGAACTGTGAGTCAATTCAACCTCTTTTCTTTATAAATTACCCAGTCTCAGGAAGTTCTTTACAGCAGTGGGAAAATGGACTAATATAGTAAATTGGTATCGAGATAATAGTGCACTGCTGTAAAGATATCCAAAAATGTGGAAGCAACTTTGGAACTTGGTAAGAGGCAGAGGTTGGAACAGTTTGGAGGGCTCAGAAGAAGACATGAAGATGTGGGAAAATCTGGAACTTCCTAGAGACTTGTTGAATGGCTTTGACCAAAATGCTGATAGTGATGGACAATGAAGCCTAGACTGAGATGGTCTCATATAGAGATGAGGAATTTGTTGGGAACTGGAATAAAGGGGACTTTTCCTATGCTTTAGCAAAGAGACTGGCAGCATTTGGCCCCTGTCCTAGAGATCTATGGAACTTTGAGCTTGAGAGAGATGATTTAGGGTGTCTGGTGGAAGAAATTACTAGGCAGCAAAGCATTCAAGAGGTGACTTGGGCTCCCTTAAAAGCATTCAGTTGTATGCATTCACAAATAGATGGTTTGGAATTGCAACTTAAAGGGAAGCAGAGCATAAAAATTTGAAAAATTTGCATCTTGACTATGCGATATAAAAGAAAAACCCATTTTTTGAGGAGAAATTCAAGCTGGCTGTAATGAGAAGCCAAATGTTAATTACCATAATGATGGGGAAAATGTCTCCAGGGCATGTCAGGGGTCTTCACAGCAGTTCCTCCCAGTGCAGGCCCAGAGGCCTGGAAGGTAATTGAATCATGGGGGTGGTTTCTCCCATGCTGTTCTCATGAGAGTGAGTAAATTCTCATGATCTAATGGTTTTATCAGTGTTTGGTAGTTCCTCTTGTGTTCATCCTTCTTCTTGCTGCCTTATGAAGATGGTGACTTGTTTGCCCTTTGATTTCTACCATAATCATGAGTTTCCTGAGCCCTCTCCAGTCATGCTGAGCTGTGTATCAATTAACTTTGTTTCCTTAATAAATTACCCAGTCTCAGGCAGTTCTTTATAGCAGTGTGAAAATGGACTAATACATAAAGTTAGGGGAAAATTTATGCATTTTAGATGAAATCAAAGACACTCATAATATTTTAGTAATAGATATTATTATATATGTTTTCCTCCATGTCTCTTACAAAATTATCACTAGATTATTAGTAAATATCTGATATTTACTAATGTCTATATGTACAGTATGTGCATATGTGAATGTTTTATGTGTGGAATCTTAAAAAAAGAGACCAAGGCTAACATATACTGTGTCGATTATGTAACAACTTGATTGGGCCAAGGGGTCCCTGGATATTTAGCCAAAAATTATCCCAGATATATCTGTGAGGGTGTTTCTGGATGATATTGACATTTTAATCATTGAACTAAGTGTATTAGTTAAGGTTCTCTCGATAAACATAACCAATATGATATATACAGAGATCATTTTTAAAGTTGTTATAAGGGATTGGCTTACTTAATTATGGAGCCTGACAAGTCCCATAAACTTGTTAGGAGAAGTTGAATGTCCCAGCTCCAGTAAAGGGAATAACTTTTTAATCTCTTCTTCTGCTTTATTTTTTCCAGTTTTTTGGGATCCTCAACAGATTGGATAATGCTCATCTGCATTGATGAGGGAGTTCCTGCTCACTCAGTCTATTGATGTAAGTGCTAATCTCTTACAGAAGCTCCTTAATAGACACTCAGAAATAATGTCTCATTAGCTGTCCTGGATATTCCTTAGCTCTGTCAAGTTACACAGAAAATTAATCATCACATTGATAAAGCAGATTGACCTCTCTAATGTGGGTGGGCCTCATCCAATTACTTGATGACCTGAATAGAATAAAAAAACTAAGGGGAATCTCCTCTTGTCTGACTGCTTTGAGTAGGGCATCAGTCTCTTCCAGCCCTTGCACTCAAACAGAAATAATGGCTCTTTTTAGGTCTCAAGCCTTAAGGCTTTCAAACTGGAACTTATACCACTTATAACAATGGTTGTCAGACTCAAACTGGAACTACAAATCAACTTGCATATGCTACATCCTGGTTGCAGAAATATCGATGTATACAAATAGTCTATGAAGAATAAATACCAAAGAGTTAGTAAGAATTCCTGGGAAGGAAGATAGAAATCAACTTGCATATGCTACATCCTGGTTGCACAAATATCAATGTATACAAATAGTCTATGAAGAAGAAATACCAAAGAGTTAGTAAGAATTCCTAGGAAAGAAGATAGAATTGGAAGGATCAAGTGAATGGGAATTTCTCATGTTCATTCTACCTAATACACAACTTAAGGAAGAATTTTTGGTGCTGCAGAATAAAAAAAGGATTTAAGAAAATATTTAAGGGAAATAAATTGATAGAATTTGATGACACTGCTTAATATGAATAAAGACAGGATTTTATTCTGGGATGACTCTCATGTTCCTAGCATAAGTAATTCATGCCATTCAAGATAGTGAATATAGGAAGATGGAACAAGTTTAGAAAGAAAGCTGAGTTTCATTTGAACATATTGGGTTTGAAAGATGTTCCATTAAAATACAAACACATACACACACATGTGCACACACACACATATATAGACATTAAACTAAAAAGTATTCCTTAGCTGTGGGAGATGGTTTAATTTAGGCTTTGGCTTCAGAAAATCTGGGTTTAAGAAATAGTTCTGCCAGTAACTAGCTGTGTGACCTTGGGCAAGTTATTTAAATGGGATAACGATGTAAAATATCATTCAAGGGACATTCTTCAAAGGCAGAGGATGTTCTATTAATAATTACATAGGAAGAACAGGCATAAACCAGATATACAAATCTGCAAAAACAAGGATATAAGTTTGCATTATATTTAAAACTATCTGTATTTTCATTTTACTTCTTGTTAATGGTTAGTAACACTGAGACAAAATTTCTAGGCTTCTAAAGGGACTAAATGAGCTAAGTCACGCAAAAACCTTAATAGCACAGTGCTGAGTTATGGTAAGTACTCTAGAAATGTTAACTAGTGTTATGTCTTATTACGTCTTACTATTTTTTCTATTGCTCAATATAGTGTCTTATACATAATAGCTGTTCAATTTTGCAATTAATTAACAAATAAACATAAAACCTATTGTAATGCATTTTAAATTACTCAGTCCACAAGGAAAAGGCAATAGTCATTAAATTAACATTTTGTTTATTTGTGTTTTAGAAGATAGCTTGGTGGTAACTGTGAATAGAGCATTGCTAATACAGATGTACCTTATTATACACAGCAGATGAAGTTCTCAAATATTGTGTTTTATTCAATGTTTTGTGAATTGAATTATCTATTTACCTCTGATTTTATTAGAGGAGCACAAGGAATTTGATATTATGTCTGATTATCACTTAACTAATTCCTAACACCAGCTTGAATAATCCATCTCATACAATTGCTCCATCAAGTAATAAGATCACCTTGTAAAGTGCTTAAATTTACTAGAGAAAATTATGATTTAAAGGTACATTGCACGGATTCTTCAAATTTATTTCAAAAAATGATAAGAATCACTTTTTTATTCAGGCAATCATCCTGTAAACTATTATTTGAAATTGTCAGGGGCGGGGGTGTTTCCTAATGTATGGTCACAGCTGTGTTTCTAAAAAGACCCAGCAATCAACATTATTTAGACATTGTGTATGTTTTTGCGTAACAAATGTAAAAATAAAACGTTAGGGTGTTGTTCTTTCTCTGTTCATTCCCTCACTCCTTAACTGAGGAGTTAACCCAACTCCTAACACTGTGTTAACCCAAGAGACAGTGTTAACCCAAGGAGCACAGTTAAGGCGTGAGGAGACTCCTACTTTGAGATCATTGTTTCAACTAGGGCAAATGAGCAGATAATAAAATGTTAATACAACAGCAAGAAAAGTAAAACTTGAAAGTGAACAACCGGTGTCATCAAGAGGAAGGGAGCCTATACCCTGGGCTGTGATATCTCTCATCTATATACCACTCATATCACAGTTTTTGAAATTCATCTTTCATTATCTATGAAGTCTTTGGTCATTAAAATTATACAACAGATTCATCTTAGTGTAATTCTAATCTGACCAAAATAGTCCCAATTATGACATTGGTTTCCTACATATTTTTTACTAAGAGATAATGAGCAAGCAAAGGAAATATGGTTAATATATTTCTCAGGGTAAATTAACTGACATTCTACTGTCAATTCAGTATGTATGACTAACACACAAATTGAGTACATTGAAACACACATAATATTTATTTAAAAGGCAGGTGCCACACATTACAACAAATTTTGTTACAACAAAAGTACAACACTTTTGAGAATATAGACTCACCCAGTCTTTAAAATAAATCTGCAGATCCCAATACTTGCTGACATTTTTTGTTTCTTCTATGTGAACGTAATGCAGCCCCTGGATGAGGTAAGATTGAGCCTTAAAGAATGAATGAATAAAAGTGCTTCCAGCCATTTAAACTCCAATGGCTGCTTGGATGGCCATTTTAGAAAGGCTACTGTTTAGAGTAGGGTGAAGGAATCAATTATCAGCAACATAAAAACAAATTTCTCTTTAATACCATGGTTCCAATTTATGAATATTTACCATGAAAATTATATATTTATATGCTCTTCAAATAGTGATCAATACAAATTTCTCATACTGATTTCTCAGGCAAATGACAAACTGAATCACAACATCAAAAAAACACCAAAAAAAAAAGGCAAAATAATTCCATGTTTTTGAAAGTTGGAAAGACCTCGTGTAGTCATCTGAGTCTTGTTTTTATATCTATCTATCTATCTATCTATCTATCTATATATCTATCTATCATCTATCTATCTATCTATCTATCTATCCATACATCCATCTATCTGCACCTATCTCTTAAGATTCTAAGAACAATGATAAGACAGCCCCTTTCATTGGCATAATTATATGTTCTGTTGCTTGGATAATGGTTCAATCCCTTTCTTCCTTTTGAAATAGTTTCACTGTTATTGTAAAATATCAGAAAGTATTTATTTTCTATGTATCTTTCAACAAAAATATAATAAAACTTGGTGCTGCAATAAAATTGAAAAGAAAAATTCCACTGATGCAAAATATGTTAGAAGGATTATATCTGCTGTAGCAGAAGTCAACCTTTGCACACAATGACACACATATGAAAAAGGTAATCTTTTCAGTTTTTCATGACTGATCTTATCTATTTCTAGTGTCTTCAGGACTGCTTACAGTGTAAATACAAATAAAAACAAATTGAAAAAAAAATTGTCCATTTAAGTTATTCAGTCTTTTCTAGTTCAACATGATCTTTTTAAGGTAAACAAAGTTTCCTTTTGATAAATAATTAGACTTTTAAGGTTTCACCACTCAGTCTAGCCAACTATCCTTTGTATTCTCCCCAACATATACACACACCTTAGTCTCACATATCGTATCTCAATAAAATTTCATACTTACCTGATGGTATAAAACCACCCAATAGCTCATATAACAACCTGAGAGGGGTAAACAATAATTTTTTAAATGCTTCTTCTGTCTTCTGCTGACCTCTGACTGATATGTTGATATGTGGACTTTCTTTAGTCAACAGCGTCTGTATAATGGATTGGCTGCTTAAAAAATAACTAGCATAAACTGTGTATTCACTGCCTAGATAATTCTTGAGCATTAGTCCCCAAAATCCAGACAGCTCCTCTGACTGCCCTTTAGTTGATTCTGTTAATCTTGCGCTTCTCAACCATGCCACATCCCTTCCTTTTAATTTAGATTCACAATAGGCTTGCTATCATCTTACACCTCAGCATAGAAAATCATTAGACAGTCTGCTGACTTGTAATTCACAGAAACCTTTTGCATCCCACAAGACACATAGGAACACATACATTTTTGTCAATGTCAGATGCAGGCTGTGGGGAAATAGAGCTACATTTTGTCAAACCCTTTCTCAACCTAAACACATGCTACCATACCACAGTTTTACTTTTCCCTAATCACCCAATTTGGTCATGGGGAATTCTAAAAAATGAGTTTCAAATGTTTTGTTGTCAGCCACCCACTTTGCTTATGTGGGATTTTACTCCTTTTGGTCCATGCTTTGGGTCTTGGCCTAATTGGCTGAGACATATGTTCTTAGAAATTTAGACAGAAATTTAACCCAGGCCTTATCTCCTCTGAATCTTTATTCTTGGCTAAACTACCTACTGTTGAGAAAGGCTTTATTTCTTGCTGTGGGATAGAAACTCCCTTTAAACCATGTCTTTTATCTTCTCTTTAAGAGATCTTTACTCAGAATGTCATGCTTTTTTTTTTTCTAGCCAAGGAAAACTTTGGAATTTAGAAAAATTATTTTACTCTCAGAAAAGCCTGGTTCTTAAGATCGTGCTTTTTTTAAGATCAAAAAGTCTGATTTGAATCTTAACCAGAGGAATCACCACTTTATTCTAAGATATACTTGCTCTGCACATGAAATGATGGATGACATTGGTACAAAGGATGTTGAGTCGCAGAGAAACAAGATTTCTAAGAAATAAAATATATATTGGCTTTATATATCAAATGCATTATATCCATTACAATGCTCTTTAACATACTCCATAGTTGTGTGCTTGCAATTTTCCCAGTAGCTCTTGGTATGTGATACTTCATTTCATAAGAACCATATGTTTTCAAGTTTTACTGCACCAGGGGCAAATCACTTAATATTCTGAGCCACAATTTTGCCATGAGTTAAATGGATATAAAAATAGTACCCACTTCCTAATTACATAGGCAGAGCAAATTTATCTTAGATTATTCAGGTGAGCACATTGTAATCACAAAATGTCTTAAGAATGGAAGAAAACAGCAGAAGAGAATGTTAGAATGATGCAATGTATGAAGAATTTGACCCACCATTATTGGCTTTGAGGATGAACACCAAGAGACAAGGAATATGAGTGGCTTGCAAAGTTGGAATTGTCAATGAAACACATTCTCCTCTAGAGTCTCTAGAAAGAAAGGTAGCTTTCCTGCTGAAAACTTGAGCCCAAGGAGATCAGTGTTTGACTTCTAACATACAGAATTGTAAGAATAAATAAATGATGTTTTAAAACAAATAAATTTGTGATTTCTTACACCAGCAATAAGATACTAATATAGTATCTGACAATCATGGAATAAATTCAGCAATATTCTCCCTCAGGGGCTTTGCTTTATGCTCAGCAGTGACTTAGAGAGTCAATTTAACTCATTCTGACAAATAAGGCACCACATTATGCATTGCCATAAAGTATGACACTCTTTAGCTTAATCTGTGACCTAGCACAGAGTAAAGTTTCCATTTGGGTATTTTATGATGACAATAACAGAAGCAGCATCTTTACTTGGCTTACATATTATTCAGTGGTTCTCTAACAATCTATTTAACTACACTGAAAATAATTTCAGCAATAATTGGAAAACCTGTTTTCAGGCTCCGCACTCTATAAGAAATAAGGAAGTTGTAAAGGTAAGCCTTTGACCTTGTGCTACATATTTAGCACAAAAAGCACATACTGAGATTATAATGTGTGCAGATGTGTGGCTGTGATAAGTCATTCCAGGTATGAAAAATACAACTAAGGCATAGCTACTACCTTTAACATGCTTATAGTATGCAAAGCATTACATTACATAAAGAATATTTAAAACATGTTATTAAAATTATTTGAGGACTGATTTCTGGAATAGTGAAGAGCTATGAACCTGGTCCCCAGGAAAAAAAAATAACTCGTGAAAATTATTTACAAATAAGCAAACAATTTAAAGTCTCTGGATATTTTCCAAAGGACATTCCTCAAATAAAATAAAATCTACTAAATTCTGATAGAAGCAATGCAAACCTGTGGCATTGGCACCACAACCCACATCTCCCTCAGAATGGCAAAGCATATCTGTGGTTCCTAATGAACAACACAGAGGTTTGACCCAAGAAGAGAAAAAGGGAGTGAAAACAGAGAGCATCATGTATCTTCCCAAGGAAGCAGAATTTATTTAGAATGAAAAAGTTTAGGAAAGTGTAGACCGAAGAGCACAGTCAGAATAAGCCATAAACGTTGGCCTTTGATTCCTGAAAATCAGTCCTATTCTGATTGGACTATATTGGGGAGATATTCCAGCCCCAGAGTATTGTCAAAAATAATAGTGCAATCAGATAGGAATTAGTAGAGGGTAACAACTGGGTGTGATACTTGGAGTGTCAGATAGCTTACCAGAGAAATCATTGAAAGAGACAGTCAAAGAGAGTCTGACTAAAGCAGTTACTGCATCGCCCAGAGAATATGCACATTCCCAAGGCTGAATCATTTGAAGATCAATATTAGATTGTTGTACAATACGGGGGGGAAATAGACTTCAATAAAGTAGTCAAACCAAGTTAGTAAAAACTATAAACAAGAACATAACAAATATAATCTCCAGTATAGAGCAGGGAATCAGTATGCAGATTTGCTAAAATATATAATTTTTTAAAACTCTAGGTTTTAACAAAAAATTACACGGTCTACAAAGAGGTAATAAAGTATGATCATGCACATGTTAAAAACAATGAAAACAAAACAATGACAAAAACAGGCAGATGCTGGGTTAGCAGACAAATCTTCAAAGTATCTATTCTAAATGTGTTCAAAGAACTAAAAGAAATATTTAACAACATACAGTACAGTAAGATGGCAATGCCTCATAAAATAGAAAACATCAATAAGGAGATAAAAATTATTGTAAGAAACCAAAAATAAATCTTGGAATTGAAAAGTACAGATGTTGAAACGAAATGTTCTCTAGGGAATCTCAACAGATTTGAAGTAAAATAATCATTGTACAATGTAATATGTATAAAATTGTAGCACAAAAAAGAGGGGTAGAAAGGGAATAGAGATATATAGTGTAATGTTTCTGTATCTCACTGGAGTTAAATTGACTATGGAGGTGAAGTAGTTTAAAATAAGATGTATATTTTGAGCTCTAGATTGAACATTAAGAAAATTTTAAAAAGTAAACATATTGTTAAAGTAATTGAAATATTGCACCAAAAAGTATTTACTTAATGAAAATTAAAGAAGCGAAAAAGAACACAAGACCCAAAAAAGCATACAGAAAACACAAAAATAAAATGGAAGACATAAATCTAACTATATAAACAATGACATCAAAAGTAAATAAATGAAACAATCTAATCAAAAAGCAGTCATTGCTAGACAGAATTTTCTAAAATCCTACTTTATATTGTCTATAGGAGACACACTTTAGACTCAAAGATTCAAATAGGTGGAAAATATGAGGATGGAAATGATAGCAACCACAAGAATGCTAGAGGAACCATATTAGTAATAAACTATAGACTATAAAAAGTTTTTTTTTAATTACCGCAGATAAAGATGAAAACTTTCTAATGATAAGAGGGGCACTCCATCACAAAGATATAAGAGTTACAAACACATATTCACCCAACAGCAAGACACCAAAATACATGAAGAAAAAAATGGACAAATTAAGAGATAGAGAATGCAACCATATCTGCAGGCTGCAGTGTCCACTTTCAACAGTAGATGGAACAAGTAGAAAGATCAATAAAGACATAGAAGACTTGAACAACAGCATAAACCAACCAGATCTAGATCTAGATCTAAGAGAGACCTACAGAATAACCTATCCAATACAGCACTATATACTTTCTTTTCAAATGCAAATGGTACGTATTCAAGGATCATATTGTAGGCCATAAAACTAGCCTCAATAAGTTTAAAATATGTGAAATCACACAAAGTTTCTCTGACCAAAATAGAACTAAATAAAAAACGAACAACAGAGCAAAACTGAGAAAATTTACAAATATTTGGACATTAAACAACACACTCTTTAACAATCAATGGACCAAAGAGAATTTACAAGGGAAATTCAATCATATTTTGAGATAAAATGGAAACACAATATAATAAAACTTATACGATACAGTGAAACCCATGCTTAGAATGAAATTTATATCTGTAAGTATATATATTTTAAAAAATAATAATCACAAATCTGTAACCTAACTTAAACCTAAAGACACTGATACATTTTAAAAAAGGAAAAAACTAAACTTAAAGCCAACACATGGTAGGAAATAATGATTATAGATGAAATTAATGGAAGAGATAACAATAGAGAAAACCAAAAAATCAAAAGGTGTGCTGTAGTCTGAATGTGTCCCTCCAAATTCACTTGTTGAAACCTAACCCCTAAGGTGATGGTAGGTATTAAGAGCTGGGTTGTTTGGAAGGTTATTAGGTCATGAGGTCTCTGATCTCACGAACTAGATTAGTGCTCTTATAAAACAGGCTGGAGGGAACCTGTTTTGCCCCTTGCACCATCTGAGGACACAACAAAAAGGCATTGTTTCTGAATCATAAAGTGAGTCTTCACCAGATGTCATATTTGTCGGTGCCTTAATCTTGGACTTCACAGCTTCCAGAACTGTGACCAACACATTTTTATTTTACAAAACCTTCCCTTTGCTGATTAAAAAAGGAAGAACACTCAAATTACTGACTCAGAAATAATAAAAGAAGGGACTTTATGACTGGCTATCCAGAAATGCAAAAAGATTTTAAATGAATACTACGAACTACCAAATGCCTACAAATTACATCACTGATTTTTTTTTTTTTTTTTTTTTTTTTTTTTGAGACGGAGTCTCATTCTATTGCCCAGACTGGAGTGCAGTGGCGAGGTCTCGGCTCACCACAAGCTCCGCCTCCCGGGTTCATGCCATTCTCCTGCCTCAGCCTCCCGAGTAGCTGGGACTACAGGGGCCCGCCACCACGCCCGGCTAATTTTTTGTTTTTTTTAGTAGAGACGAGGTTTCACCGTGGTAGCCAGGATGGTCTCAATCTCCTGACCTCGTGATCCACCCACCTCAGCCTCCCAAAGTACTGGGATTACGGGCGTGAGCCACCACGCCCGGCCTACATCACTTTTGATAAAATAGAAAATTACCTAGAAAGACACAAACTACTGAAACTGACTCAATAAGAAACAGGAAATTTGAGAAGACTTATGTGTTTATTTTATATTGCTGCTGCAAAAAAAATACCAAAAATTCAGTGACTTAAATCAACATAAATGTATTGTTTTACATTTCTGTAGGTCAGAAAACTGTCACAGTTCTCAAAAGAATAAAATCAAGATATTACCAGGGCTTACTTTCATTTTGTTAGGTCTTGTTTAAAATTCATTTCTGTAACCTTCCCAGAATCTAGATGCTAGCCACAATCCTTTGCTTATGGCCCCTTTCTCCATTTTCAAAGCCAGAAACTTTACGTTTTTCTATATCTTTCTTCCAGAATGACATCTCTCTAAGATCAGAGCGGAGAAAAGTTCTCCACTTTTAAGGATCCGTGTGGTTAGATTGCAATCACCAAAATTATCTAGAATAATCTCCCTTTATCAAGGCTCTTAAATTAATTATATTTGCAGAGTCTTTTGCCATATAAATTAACATATCAACAGTTTCTGTTATTAGGAGGTGAACATTTTTGCAGAATGATCATTCTGTCTACCACAATCTATAATGAGTAAAGAGATTAAAATAGAAAAGTATAAATGTCTCACAAAATAAATTTCTGGCTCAGATGCCTTACTTCATAAATTATGACAAATATTTAAGAAAAAATTAATACCAATTCTCCCCAACAATTTTTTAAAAATAGAATAGAATATATTACATCCCAACCCATTCTATGTATTGCTGGCATGTGAAAGCTAAACCGAAATATTACGAGTAAGTAAAACTATAAAGTAATATCTTTAATGAATATAGACAAAAAAATTTCACTTAATACTAGCAGACTACATCCATCAACATATAAAAAGTACTATACACTATGCTAAACCGAAATATTACGAGTAAGTAAAACTATAAAGTAATATCTTTAATGAATATAGACAAAAAAATTTCACTTAATACTAGCAGACTACATCCATCAACATATAAAAAGTACTATACACTACGATCAAGTGTGATTCATCTCAGAAATCTAATGATAGTTTAACAACTGAATAAAGAACACAAAGCACATGACCATCTTAATAGATGAAGCAAAAAACATTTGACAAAATCTAACACTCTTTAATGATTAAAAATATTCAACAAATAGGAATAGAGAGAACTTTCTCATACTGAAGAAGGACAACAATGGAAAACTAAGAGAATCCTCTTACTTAAAGGTGAAAGACTAAATGTTTTCCCCTAAGATAAGGAATGAGACAAGGACGTTTTCTCTTACCATTCCCATTTGACATTGTACTCAAAGTTCTAGACAAGGTAGTTTGGCAAGGAAAAAATAAAGTCTTGGAATAAGAAATTTTTAAGTATCTCTATTTGAAGATGACATAATTTTGCAGATGGAAAATTCTAAGGAATTCATTTCCTAATTAAATTATTTTCTGTAGTAGTAATTTAGTGGTGATTATTACTAAAAGTGATAATTAAGACCATCGAGGTTGCAGAGTCTAAGATCGACATCCACAATTCAATTGTATTACTATGCATTAGTGATTCACAAACCAAAAATTAAACCAAGTGATTAATTACATTTACAATAACACCCCAAAAAACAAAATACTAAAGAATAAATTTAACAAAATAAGTGAAAGTCTTAGACACGGCGAACTAGAGAACATTATTTTAAAAAATTAAATAAAATATAAATAAATGGGAAAAAATCTTATGTTCAGGGATTAGGAGATTTAATATCATTAAGATGGCAATATATCTCTTAATTGATCTATGATTTCAGTGCAATCCCTATCATGATCAAAGTGCTTTTTTTGTTCTTGCAGAAATTCGCAAGCCAGATCTAAAAGTCATTCTGAAATTCAAGGGCCCAGAATTTCCAAAACAACCTTAGAAGAAGAATAACACATTTAAAGGACTTACATTTTCCAATTGTATAACTTACTACAAAACCACGGTAATCAAAAGTATGATCTTGACATAGGATAGACACAGAATTCAGAATTCAAAAATAAGCCTCTTCACTGATTTTCAACAAGAGTATTGCGAGATTTCAATGGGGTAAATCTTTCAAGAAGTGATATGGAGACAAGTGGATAAATACATACACAACAATTAAGTTGGAACTGTTCCTTACGCGATGCACAAAAATTAATTCCAGATAGATGATAGACCTCAACGTAAGAAATAAAACCATAGAACTCTTAGAAGAAAACATAGAAGTAATCATTGTGATTTTGGATTATGTGATTAATTATTAAATATGACAAAAAGCACAAACAACAAAAGAAAAATAGATAATTAGACTACATCAAAATTAAAAATTTTGTGCTTGGTAAAACATCAAGAAAGTAGAAAGGCAATCAACAGAAAATTATACATATAATAAAAGACTTGTTTCCTAAGTATATAAAAAAACTCTTAAAACTAAAAACTAAAAAAAAAAACAATAAAAATGTGCAAAAAAGTAATAGACACTATTCCTATGAAGATAAAAAATGGCTAAAGAAAACATGGAATTATGATTATCATTAGTTATTTGTGAAGAGAAAATTAAATTCACAGTAATATATATTTTTGCATTCATTAGGGTGATGGCTGTAATAAAAAATACATTACAAATAGATATCAATAAGGATGTAAACAAATTAGAATCTCTACACGTTGTTGGCTGGAATGTAAAATGTTCCAAAAATCTTAGAAAACTGTTTGGCAGTTACTCAGTATTTTAAACAAACTTGCCCTTATGACAGAGCAATTCCACTCCTAGATATATACCCAAGAGAAGGGAAAACATGCGACTATACACAAACCTGTACACAATGTTCAAGCATTGTCATTCATAATAGTCAAAAGTAGAAAGAAGCCAAATGTTCATCAACTAATGAATGGACATATATAATGTAGTATATCCACACAATGAAATTTAATATGGCAATAAAATAAATATGCTTGCAACAACATGGATAAATATTGAAAATATTACACTAAGTGAGAGAAACCAGTCATATAAAGACCCCATGTTATATGAGTCCACTTATATGCCATATCTTGAATCTTCAAATCTATAGAGACCCAAAGTCAATCTGTGGTTGCCTAGAACTGAGGGTATTGAGGGGAATGATGAGTGACAATTGATGGGTATGGTATTTCTTTATGAAGTGAATAAAATGTTATGAGAATTTATTGCAGTGGTGGTTGCAAACCTCTGTGAATTCACTAAAATCACTGAATTTTGTACTGCAAATTGGTAGTTGTATAGTGAGTTATATATCAATAAATGATAAAATGCTTTCAGAACATAAAAAAATTCCTTTTGGGGGACATGTCTCACAGTTATGGAATTTAAGAATAACAATGTAATAATGAATTAAATTCCAGTGAAATGAAATAGTATAAAAAAATTCAGAGGCAATAATAGAAAGGAATTATGTGGTAGATAGTATGTAATATTGTATGAAGGGGATACGAAGGAAAATTGCAAAATATAAGTTCAGGAACTGAGTATGTGAGTACAATTTAGAGGGTAAAGCTACCATGGTGAGAGATTTTATGTTTTACTTTGTGTGTAATTTGGGGCAAGCAAAGGTTAGCAAGGAAAGAAAAATGAAGTTACCAGAGGTGCACACTATAGTGACTTTTAGGATTCAACTCCATTTTAGTAATTGCTTTTGCATTTGAAGGGTATATTTTAAGCAACCAAACTAATAAAATTAATTATACAAGGTGGACTTAATGTCTGGAAACATAGGAAAATATATATGATAAATGGCTCACAATAAAAATTCAGTTGATGTATTATCCCTTGGCATCAATGCATTCAGTTAGCTCTCAAAAGTTGCATTGAACTTAGTGAATGAATGCAGAATTTTCATCGGTCTCTGCATAAGCATCTGTGATGTGTATTTTAAAATGATTTTTTATATTATTATTATTATACTTTAAGTTTTAGGGTACACGTGCACAATGTGCAGGTTAGTTACATATGTATACATGTGCCATGTTGGTGTGCTGCACCCATTAACTCCTCATTTAGCATTAGGTATATCTCCTAATGCTATCCCTCCCCCCTCCCCACACCCCACAACAGTCCCCAGAGTGTGATGTTCCCCTTCCTGTGTCCATGTGTTCTCATTGTTCAGTTCCCATCTGTGAGTGAGAACATGCGGTGTTTGGTTTTTTTGTCCTTGCGATAGTTTACTGAGAATTATGATTTCCAGTTTCATCCATGTCCCTTCAAAGGACATGAACTCATCCTTTTTTATGGCTGCATAGTATTCCATGGTGTGTATGTGCCACATTTTCTTAATCCAGTCTATCATTGTTGGACATTTGGGTTGGTTCCAAGTCTTTGCTATTGTGAATAGTGCCGCAATAAACATACGTGTGCATGTGTCTTTAAAGCAGCATGATTTATAATCCTTTGGGTATATACCCAGTAATGGGATGGCTGGGTCAAATGGTATTTCTAGTTGTAGATCCCTGAGGAATCGCCACACTGACTTCCACAATGGTTGAACTAGTTTACAGTCCCACCAACAGTGTAAAAGTGTTCCTATTTCTCCACATCCTCTCCAGCACCTGTTGTTTCCTGACTTTTTAATGATCGCCATTCTAACTGGTGTGAGATGGTATCTCATTGTGGTTTTGATTTGCATTTCTCTGATGGCCAGTGATGATGGATAAAATGATTTTTATCTCTAATTTTTCCTGAATGTCCATGAGTTTAGCATAGCCCAGAATAAATAATCAGGGAGTTCAATAAAAAAAATTTTTAGTATTTTCAGACTATAGTCACCCTCCAAATTATATATAACTATTAACATAATATCTTAGTATATACACATGAATATTTTCTGGTCCTCTCTCATGTCATGTGTTTTAAAATCCTTTTAAAATTTGGAGATAAGTTTAAGAACATATGAAGATAAATTATGTGCTTTTAGTAACAGACACACAAGGGAAAAATAAAGAACAGACAATAGGACAAAAAAATTCCCACAAATTATTAAACACTATAGATTTCAAATCACAAGTTTATTTACTAACGTCACAATTCCTTACCTAAAAATCTGGTTTGGAGTTTATATACATGACGTTATTTTAGGAAATCAATTACTGTTCTTTGATGTTACACCTTTATATTGATAGTGTCTCTATATCTTAATTCATTATGTTCAGGGTACACCGAAGCAAGAATGCAAATAACTGGACTTTTAAATTTATATTCACAGTAAGTAATAGCAGCCTAACCTTGGTACCTCATGAACACAGGAACAAGTGCTAAAGCAATTGTCTACGGATAAGGATTTAATTTTACTTTACACAGCTTTCAGAGTTATTACAGAGTCAATTTAAAGTAAGAGTGCCACAGTATAATAGCAGTTTTTCACTGATAAAGTTTGCACATGGAATCCATAATTAAAATATCTAATTAATATTACTCACCTAAGGTGCATGGGTTTAAAAAAGGCCAGCTTTTT
The DNA here is from genome assembly GCF_000001405.40 of Homo sapiens. Taxonomy (NCBI): domain Eukaryota; kingdom Metazoa; phylum Chordata; class Mammalia; order Primates; family Hominidae; genus Homo; species Homo sapiens. The sequence goes on along the minus strand of NC_000010.11, from coordinate 54,933,680 downwards.
AAGGAATTTTATCAAGGTTTTCTTGGTGGGAAATGGGTACTAATTAAGGCAAACAAGTGGATTTGTTAAATCTCAAACTGGCAATTAGCTTTATGCTGATAAATTTCCTGTATCAGACAAATTTTCAAGGATAGAACAGTGGTGATACCTTGTCTTCTCTTTTGCTCTTCTATTCCATTGTATGTGTATCAGGTTGTAGGAAATGAACTTGAATCTTTCTAATCTACACTTCAAGAATAATCATGTTTTTCTATTTTATACCTGCTGCTCTTAGTTAGCAACTGGTGGGGAAAAGCAGAGAGGTCTCACCCAAGAAACAATATAAAACACATTTTTTTTTACATAAAAACTGTCACAATCAGCAGACCCATCAAAATTTTAATTCACAACTACTTGAAATTACTCAGCTTATTGAGGGCAATTAATCACAATCATGAAACACTGACTGACAGAGATACAGTCTGAGAAATGTGTCATTATGAGATTTTGTTGTATGAACATCATAGAGTGTACTTACACAAACCTAGATGATGTTGTCTACACACATAGGCTATATGGTATAATTTATTGCTCATAGTCTATAAACCTATACAGCATGTTACTATACTGAATACTGTAGACAATTGTAATACAATGTTATTTGTGTTTCTAAACATATCAAAACATAGAAAAGATACAGTAAAAATATAAATGATAAAAATGGTACACCTTTATAGAGCACTTAACCATAAATGAACCTTGCAGGAATGAAAGTTGCTCTGGGTGAGTGGGTGAGTGAGTGAGTGATGAGTGAATGTGAAGGCCTAGAACACTAGTGCACACTAGTGTAGACTTTAAAAACATGGGCTGGACGCAGTGGCTCACATCTGTAATCCCAGCACTTTAGGAGGCCGAGGCGGGTGGATCATCTGCAGTCAGGGGTTTGAGACCTGCCTGATCAACATGGTGAAACCCCTTCTCTACTAAAAATGCAAAAATTAGCTGGGCATGGTGGCACAGGCTTGTAATCCCAGCTACTCAGGAGGCTGAGACAGGAGGATTGCTTGATTTTGCAGTGAGCCTAGATGGCACCACTGTACTCCTGGGCGACAAAATGAGACTCCGTCTCAAACCAACAAACAAAACCATGATAAACTTAGGTGACACTAAACTTATAAAATTGCCTTTTCAATAATAAATTAACCTTAGCATATTATAACTTTTTCACTTTATAAACTTTTAAATTTTTTAACATTTTTTAATCTTTGCAATGAGAGTTAGCTTAAAACAAACACATCATACAGCTGTACAAAAATATGTTCTTTCTTTATATCCTTATTCTAAAAATTTTATATAAAAATTAAGCCACAAACACACACATTAGCCTAGGCATACACAGGGTCAGAATAATCAATATCACTGTCTTCACCTCCAAATCTTATCCCACTAGAAAGTTTTCATGGGCAGTGACATGCGTGAAGCGCTCATCTCCTCTGATAAGAATGCCTTTTTCTGAAATACTTCCTGAAGGACCTGCGTGAGCCTATTTTACAGTTAACTTTTTTTATAAGTAGAAGTACACTCTAAAATAAGGATTAAAAGTATGCTGTAGTAAATACTAGGTGTTAGAGATTTTTCAGTTCCATTATTATCTTATGGAATCACTGTAGCATATATGGTTCATCGTTCACCAAAACGTTGTTAAGAGGCATATGACTGTATGTACAGTCTAAGTGGAGTGTGAAAGCAGAGTGGTCTTTAATATGGAGGTGCATTTTCTTTCCCTAGGGTTAAGTAGCAACTCTTCATTTGCTCTTTACTTAATGATTCTGAACAATGCACTAAGCCTCTCTGAAATAGAGAAAACAAATGAAACAAAAGACATGAAATGCTTTCTGAAACTACAAAACACTAGACTGTGAGTTCTGCAAGGATTTAAAAAACCCTGCAAATCCCAGTATGTATTAATGGTTTATTATAAAACTTGCAAAAATGCAAAAGGCAGTACAATCACCAAAATGAGGATTGTCCTAGCAGATGTGTCTTTATTTCTCTGTCTCAAAGGCAGGACTTCCTAAAGTTCAGGATGAATAACAGTGAATACCACCCACTTACAGATTTTTGGAACACATAGAAAAGATATTGTTTGTAAGGCACACTATATTAAGTGGACAAATCTGCCTATACACCAAGGTATCCATCTGCTCCAGGGAATTAAATGGGCTTATACCTCAGCACAAGCAGAATTCACTGGTTGCCCACTAGTGTGGAGTAGGAAACTCTCCCTGTGTATGAGAATATCCTGGAAATCTGACATCATTCTATGACATTTGCTTTGGAATATAGAGGTTAACTTCATATTTGAGTTTTAGTAGATGTTTCAAACGTTACTGAAAAGTCACACAATGATTTATTTGAAATAAATGATATGTTTCTGTTTAACAGAATATATTCCAGAAAACACTTGCAAAATGACAAGCAGGAATGTATCAGAATGATAAAACCCAGAGGATAATATAGCTCATCACTGTCACTCTTCATGCCAGTTTTCAAATGCTCAGAAATGTGGTTTTGATATAATTTTATGTATCTGAAATAAACATGAAGTTGTTATTTGATAAAATGGTCCTAAAGTATAGTTTGAAAGTAAAATACTCCAGGAAAAATGGAATGTAGCTCCAAAGGAGATTAAGTAAATATATAATCCATCAATCATGCCATCAATCATGCTAATTCATAATTCTGATGGAAATACATTGTAAATTATTCATAAGAGACAAAAATTGCCCAAATGTTTTGTTACTCTATTAGTAAGTACGTATGTAATTGATTACGTATGTCTTATTAAATTTTTCATGTTATTAGATCTCTTTGTTCAATCAAACAAGAACTATTAACTGAATTCCTACACTTTACAGTTATTTGGAATGCAAAGAGGAACATGAGCTAGGACCTCAGAAATCTTAGAGTATTGATAGGAAAGTTAGTATCATGTTAATATGTAAACATTATATAATATAATAATTTCAAGGTTTATTATTTCTATAAGAATAAATAAGGTACAGAGTCATTAAAAGGACATTTAAACCAAATGAGAGAGCCAAGGTTACCTTGACCAAGCTAGTCACACAAGTGTTGAAATCAAAAATTCAAGTAAAGGAAAACAGAGTAAACAAATTGAAGCAGCATCGTTGTCTGGGGTAAATACCTGAGGTTCATTGTCTTGCCCCAAGGAAGTCAAGGATGCAAACACACAATAAGTGGGTTTAGGAGTGGAGGTTTAACAGGTAAAAGAAAGAGGGAAGAGAATAGCTCTGTCTCCTGCGAAAGAGAGGGGCACTTGAGTGGGACTTCCGGTCCTACAGTGAAGCACTTGGGGTTTTATAGACTGGCTTGAGGAGGTGGTGTCTGATTTACATAGGTCTCAAAGATTGGTTGTACCAGGCAGGACATTTACACAGTGAGTGAAGAACCTTGCAACCCCACCCTAATCTTTTATTATGCAAATGGATTTTTTACTTGGTTGGCTCCACGTTGTGTGCTCCTTACTGTACACGTGGTTGGCAAGGAAAAGGAAAGATGGAGATGTCATGTTGAACATGCCTAGCCCCCAGGTAGACTTTTACTATTGGCACAGCTGCCAGCATTCACCTGTGCTCCAGCTTGCTTATCTATGTCTGCAGCTCAATTTTACAGGCTGCTCTTAGTTAGAAAACAAATGATTTGGGGACTACTTCTCATTAAAAAGTAAACTTCACGGAAGACTTCCTTATCCTATCTATCTGCTTAAATAATTTATTTTTAACTCATATGTTAAAATGGTACAGCAGACCAGATATTAGAAACAAATGAGCTGAGCAAGCCACATGTTAGAAAGTAAAACTGTTGAGAACTGTGAATTCCTCACACAGCTCCAGCTGATTGTTGCTATGTGAGATAGTTGCAGATTCACTGACAACACATTTTCTAATATTTTCCAGAAAAGCCACACACTCAGACTTGTTTGTGAAATTTCCTTTTAAACTATTGGCAACTTCCTAATTATTTTCTGTCAGTTGTAAAGGGTACAAGTAACACATGTCTGCTTACCAAATTTGGCCAATGGGCCACAATTTTCCGTTGTCACAACGGTCAGAAGGTATGATAAATTATGGAAGATCTAAGGTAGTTTGGTATATGAGTACCATAATGATCTCCAAAGTGACTATATGATTAATAGTAATGTCTATACCAAAATCTCTCCAACATCAGGAAACAAAAAAATTGCATATAAGAATAAAAGTATCCAGCACCCTGCCACAGCTGATGATCGTGCACCCCACCATGCTGCCACTGCAGCATGATTTGTCTGACACCACCCATTGAAGTGTAGTGACCAGGAGTCAAGGAGCACCTCAGACCCTAGCACAGTGGACTCCTTACATTGAGTAGGCAGATGACAAAGTTGGGGCCCAATACAAGTCCCCCAGAGTTAGAGCACACAGTCTAGGAGTTAGGAGCTGAACATTGGTCCCATGAAATCATCCAGAAAGAAAGCCATTCAATTGGCTTATGCCACAATCAAACGCTCATGGTCATCAAATAGGATAAAAGGAAAAATAAAACTTTCAATGGTGAGCAACATCAAAGATTGAATTAGCATCAGCCCACAAAGATGAGAAAGAACCAATGCAATAACTCTAACAACTCAAAAAGCTAGAGTACATTCTTTCCTCCAGACAACCACATCACCTTTCCATCAAGGATTCTGAAGTGAGCTGAGATTGCTGAAATTGCAGAAGTAGAATTTACAATATGGATAGCAACAAAGCTCTTTGAGGTGCAGGAGTATGTTGAAACTCAATCCAATAAAGTTATGAATCACAATACAATGATACAGGTGCTGACAGACAAAATAGCCAGTACAGAAAGGAACATAATCAACCTGGTAGAGTAGAAAAACACACTACAAGAATTTTATAATACAATCACAAATATTAGTAGCAGAATAGACCAAGGTGAGAGCTTGAAGAGATCAGCTTTCTGAAATAAGTTAGTCAGAAAAGACTAAAGAAAAAGTAATGAAAAGGAATGAACGAAACCGCCAAGAAATATGGAATTATGTAGAGACCAAATCTATGACTCATTGGTGTCCCTGAAAGAGATGGAGAAAATGGAAGCAACTTGGAAAACATAGTTCAGCATATCATCTATGAGAACATCTTCAATCAGGTTGGAAAGGCCAACATTTAAATTCAGAAAATGCTGAGAACCCCAGTAAAATACTTCACAAAAGATCATTTTCAGGACACATAATTATCAGATTCTCCAAGGTTGAAATGAAAGAAAGAAATGTTAATGGCAGCTAGAGAGAAAGGTCAGGTCACCACAAAGGGAAGCTCATCAGACTAATTAATAGCAGACCTCTCAGCAGAAACTTTAAAGTCAGAAGAGATTGGGGTCCAATATTCAACATTCTAAATGAAAAGAAATTTCATTCCAGAATCTTTTATTCAGCCAAACTAAGCTTCATAAGTGAAGGAGAAATAAGATATTTTTGAACAAGCAAATGCTGAGAGACTTTGTTACCACCAGACCTGCCTTACAAGAGCTCCTGAAGGAAGCATTATATATGGAAAGAAAATATTGTTACAAGCCACTACAAGAACACACTTAAGTACACAGACTGGTGACATTATAAAGCAACCACATAAACAAGTCTACATAATATCCAGCTAATATCACAGTGACAGAATCACACCGACACGTAACAATATTAACCTTGAATGTATATGGGCTAAGTTCACCAATTAAAAGGCACAGAGTGGCAAGCTAGATAAAGAACCAATACCTATTGGTATGCTGTGTTCAAGAGACCCATCTCTTATGCAGTGATACCCACAGGCTCAAAGTAAATGGATGAAAAAATATCTACCAAGCAAATGGAAAACAGAAAACAGATAAGGTTTCAATCCTAAATTTCAGATGAAACAGACTTTAAACCAATAAAAATCAAATAAGACAAAAAAGGGCATTACTTAATGGTAAAGGTTTTAATTCAGCAAGAAGACCTAACTATCCTAAATATATATGTACCCAATACAGGAGCACTAAGATTCATAAAGCATGTTCTTAGAGAACTTCAAAGAGACTTAGACTCTCACACAATAATAGTAGAAGATTTCCACACTTCATTAACAGTTTTAGACAGATCATCAAGGCAGAAAATTAATAAAGATATTCAGGACCTGAACTCAGCATTAGATCAAATGAATCTGATAGAAATCCACATTACTTCACACCCAAAAGCAACAAAATATACATTTTTCTTATTAAAACATGTCACACACTATAAAATTGATTGCATAATTGGACACAAAATACTCCTAAGCAAAGGTAAAACACCTAAAATCATAACAACCACTATCTTGCACCACAGCACAATCAAGTTAGAAATCAAGACAAAGATATTTCCTGAAAACCATACAATAACGTGGAAATGCAATAACCTGATTCTAAGTGACTTCTGGGTAAATAATAAAGTCAGAAATCAAGAAGTTCTTTAAAACCAATCAGAACAAGTATACAACACACCAGAATCTCCAGGACACAGCTAAGGCAGTGTTAAGAGGGAAATTTATAGTACTAAATGCTCACATCAAAAAGTTGGAAAGATCTCATTTTAACTACCTAACATCATGACGAAAAGAACTAAAATCAAACTGCAAAGCTAAGGACAAGAAATTACCAAAATTGGAACTGAACTGAAGGACTCTGAGATAGATTAAAAAAAAATTTTAAAAAATCTCAACAAATCCAGGAGTTGTTATTTTCTTGTAAATTTAATAAAGTAGATATACTACTATCTAGAATAATAAAAAAGTAAACAGATCCAAATAAATGCAATTAGAAACAACAATGGGATATTACCAGAGACCTCAAAGAATTACAGATAACCATCGGAGAATATTATTAACACATCTGTGCACATAAACTAGAAAATCTAGAAGGAATGGATAGATTTTTGAACACATATACCCTCGCAAGACTGAACCAGGAAGAAATTTAATCCCTGAACAGACCACTAATGGCTCTAAATTGAATCAGTTATAAATAGCCTACAAATCTAAAAAAAAAGCCCAGCACCAGCCAGATTCAAAGCTGATTTCTACCAAATGTACATAAAAGCTCTGGTACAATTTCTACCTAAACTGTTACAAAACTTAAAGAGGAGAGACTCCTGCCCAATTCATCCAATGAAGCCCACATCATCCTCATACAAAAACCAGGCAGAGTACAACAACAACAACAAAAAAACTTCAGGCCAATATTTATTATGAACACTGATTTAAAAAACTCCACAGCAAAATACTGGCAGACCAAATCCAGCAGCACATCAAAAAGCTTATCCACCATGATCAAGTAGGCTTTAACCTTGGAATTCAAGGTTAGTTCAACATACTCAAATCAATACATGTAAGTCATTACATAAAAATAACTAATGAAAAAAGCCACATGATTATCTCAATAGATGCAGAAATGCCTTTGGATGAAATTCAACATTCCTTCAGGTTAAAACTCTCAAGAAATTAGGTATTGAAGAAACATACCTCAAAATAATAAGAGCCATCTATGAGAAACCCACAGCCAACATCATACTGAATAGGCAAAGACTGAAAGCATTCTCTTTGAAAACTGGCACAAGACAAGGATGCCTTCTTTCACTACTCCTATTACACACAGTATTGGAAGTACTGGCAAGACCAAATAGGCACAACAAACAAATAAACACATCCAAATAGAAAAAGAAGAAATCAAACTATCCCTGTTTGCAGAAGACACGCTCCTATATTTAGAAAACCCCATAGCATAGTCTCAGCTCAAAAGTTTCTTAAGCTAATAAACAACTTCAGCAAAAACTCAGGATACAAAATAAACATACAAAAATCACTAACATGTCTATACATCATCAGAAGCCAAGCCAAGTGCCAAATCATGAATGCAATCCCATTCACAACTGCCACAAAAAGAATGAAATATCTAGGAATACAGCTAACCAGGGAGGTGAAAGATCTCTGCAAGAAGAACTACAAAACACTGCTCAAAGAATTCCCAGATGACACAAACAAATGGAAAAACATCGCATGCTAATGGATAGAAGAATCAATATGGTTAAGATGGTCACACTGCCAAAGCAATTTGTAAATGCAATGCTATTCCTATGGAAATACCAATGACATTCCTCAAAGAACTATAATGAACTATTTTAAAATTAATGTGAAAACAAAAAAAAACGCCTGAATAGCCAAGGAAATGCTAAGCAAAAAGAAAAATTTGGAGGCATTATACTACCTAACTTTAATATATACAACAAGGCTACAGTAACCAAAACAGCATGGTGATGGTACAGAAACAGATACATAAACCAATGGAACAGAATCGAGAACCCAGAAATGTGGCCACACACCTACTACAATCTACTCTTCAGCAAAGTCAACAAAAGCAAGTAACAAGGAAAGGATTTTTTATTTAATAAATGATGCTGTGATAAATGGCTAGCCATATGCAGAAGAATAAACCTGGACTCCTTCCTTACACCATACAAATAACAAATCAAGATGGATTAAAAACTTAAATATAGAACCCAAAACTATAAAAAAGCCTAGAAGACAACCTTGGCAATACCATGCAGGACATATAAATGGGAAAATAGTTCATGATGAAGATGCCAAAAGAAATTGCAACAAAAGCAAAAATTGACAAATGCAATCTTAGTAGACTAGATAGCTTCTGCACAGCAAAATAAACGATCAACATAGTAAACAGGTAACCTACATAATAGGAGAACATTTTTACAAGCTATGCACTTGAAAAAGGTCTAATATCTAGCAAATTAAGGAAATTAAACAAATGTACAAGAAAAATATAAACAACACCATAAAACTTGAGCAAAGGACATGAACAGACACTTTTTAAAAGAAGACACATATGCAGCCAACAATTATATTTTAAAAAGCTCAACATCACTGATCACTAGGAAAATGCAAATCAAAACTATAATGGGATACCATCTTACACCAATCAGAATGGCTATTTTTAAAAGGTAAAAAAAAATAACAGATGCTAATGAGGTTGTGGAGAAAAAAGAACACTTATATGCTATGGGGGGAGTGTAAATTTTTTCATTCATTGTGGAAAAAAATATGGTTATTCCTCAAAGACCTAATAACAGAACTACTATTCAACCCAGCAATCACATTACTGGGCATATACCCAAATGCATATGAATTGTCCAGTCATAAAGACACATGCATGTGTATATTTAGTTCTGTAGTATGCACAATAGCAAAGATGTGGAATCTACCTAAATGCCCATTAGTAGTTGATATGGTTTGGTTCTGGGCCCTACCCAAATCTCATGTTGAATTGTAGTCCTCAGCGTTGTGGAAGGAGAGCCTAGGAGGAGGTGATTGGATCATGGGGGCGGATTTCCCCCCTGCTGTTCTTGTGATTGTAAGTTCTCATGAGGTCTGGTTGTTTGAAAGTGTGTAGTACTTCCCCCCCACTTCCTGCTTCACCATGTGAGAACAGTGCTTGCTTCCTCTTGACTTTCTGCCATGATTTTAAGTTTCCTATGGCCTCCACAGCCATGTCACCTGAACAGCTTGTAGATATGTGAGTTAAATTTCACTCTCTTTTTTTATATAAAGGACCAGTCTCAGATAGTTCTTTTTAGCTATGTGACAATGTACTAATACAGAAAATTAGTACCAGAGAAGTGGGGCTTTGTTATAAAGATACCTGAAAATGTGGAAGCATCTTTTGAACTGGGTAATGGTGAGAGGTTGGAATCGTTTGGAGGGCTCAGAAGACTGTAAGATGAAGGACATTGTTGAACTTCTAGAGACATTTTAAATTGTTGCACACAAAATACTGATAGTTATGTGGACAGTAAAGTCCAGACTGAGGCCTCAGATGATAAACTTTTTAGGAACTGGTTAAAGGTCACTGTTGCTATTCTTTAGCAAAGTGACTGGTGGCATTGTAGCTTTGCTTTAGGGATTTGTGGAACTTTGAACTTGAGAGAGATAATCTAGGGTATCTGATGGCAGAAATTTCTAAGCAGCAAAGTGTTCAAATTGTGACCTGGCTGCTTCTAAGAGCATAAGCTCACATGTACTCACAAGGAAATGGTCATGAAATTGGAATTCGTATTTAAAAGGGAAAAAGATCATAAAAGTTTGGAAAATTTGCAGACTGTCCATGTGGTAGAAAAGAAAACCCCATTTACTGGAGAGAAATTCAAGCCTGCTGCATAAATTTGCATAAACAAAGTGGAGCCAAAAGTTAATAGCCAAACAATAGGGAAAATGTTTCAATGGTGTTTCAGAGACTTCATGCCAGTCCCACCCAATACAGGCCTGGAGGCCTTGGAGAAAAAAATTGGTTTCATGGGCTAGACCCAGGGACCCTTTGCTCTGCACTGCCTCTGGATATGGCACCCAGCATCACAGCCAATCCAGCTCCAGCCATGGCTAAAAGGGGCCAAAATACAGCCTGGGCTGTTGCTTCAGAGGGTACAATCCTCAAGCCTGGGCAGCTTCCACGTGGTTGGGCCTGCAGGCATGTGGAGAGCAGGATTTAAAGCCTGAGAGCCTCTTCCTAGATTTCAGAGGATGTATGGAAATACTTGAGTGTCTAGGCAGAAGTCTGTGGCAGGGGTGGAGTCCTCATGGAACCTCTACTAGGGCAGTGCAGAGAGGAAATATGGGGTTGGAGCGCCCACACAGAGTCCCCACAGGGGCACTCCCTAGTGAAGCTGTGAGAAGTGTCCCACTGTCCTAAAAACCCCAAAATGTTTGATCCATCAACAGTTTGCACTATGCACCTGAAAAAGGCATAGACACTTAATCCCATGAAAGCAACCATGAGGGCTGTGCCCTGCAGAGTCACAGAGGTGGAGCTTCCCAAGGCCTTGGGAGCTCACCCTTACATCATTGTGGCCTGGATGTGAGAAAGAAGATTGTGGTGTCAAAGAAGATTGTGGGTATTATAATTCAACATGAGATTTGGGTAGGGACACAGAGTCGAACATATCATTCCACCCCTGGCCCCTTCCAAATCTTATGTCCTTCTCACATTATAAAACACAATCATGTCTTCCCAATAATCCCCCAAAGTCTTAATTCTTTCCAGCATTAACTCAAAAGTCCAAGTCCAAAATCTTATCTGAGACAAGGCAACTCCTTTCCACATATGAGCCTGTAAAATACTTTAAGCTTTGAGATTTAATGACTGCCCGGCTGGGTTTGGAATTGCATAGGGCCTATAGCTCCCTTGTTTTGGCCAATTTCTCTCTTTTGGAATAGGAGCATTTACCCAATGCCTGTACCCACATTTTAACTTGGAAATAGCTAACTTGTTTTGAATTTTACAGGCCCATAAGTGGAAGGGATTTGCCTTGCCTCTGATCAGATTTTGGGCTTGGACTTTTGACTTAATGCTGTAATGAGTCAAGACTTTGGGGGACTGTTGAAAAGGCATGGTCATGATTTAAAAATGAGAAGGACATGAGACTTGGGAAGGACCAAGGTGGAATGATATTGTTTGGCTCTGTTTTCCCACCCAAATCTCATGTTGAATTGTAATACCTGTGTGTTGGAGGCGGAGCCTGCTGGGAGGCAATTGAATCATGGGTTAGGATTTTCTTCTTGCTCATCTCATGATAGTGAGTGAGTTTTCACAAGATCTGATTGTTTGAAAGTGTTTTGCACTTCCCTCTTCACTCCCTTTCTCTTCTGCTCCACCATGGAGCAGGAGAGGTGCTTGCCTCCCTTTTGCCTTCTGCAATGGTTGTAAGTTTCCCGAGGCCTCCCCAGAGATGCTACCTGTACAGCCTGCGGAACTTTGCATCAACTAAAACTATTTTCTTTAGAAATTACCCAGTCAGAGGTAGTTTTTTTATGCCAGTTCTAGAGTGGACTAATACAGTGTTAGACTGAATGAAAAAAATGTGGTACATAAACATTATGGAATACTATGCAGCCATAAAAAGAGTGAGATCAAGTCTTTTATCAGAACATGGATGGAGCTAGAGGTGATTATCTTTAGCAAACTAGGGCAGTAACAGACAAACAAATACTATATGTTCTCACTTATAAGTGGGAACTAAATGTTGAGAACACATGGACACATAGAGGGGAACAACAGACACTTGGTCCTACCAGAGAAAGGAGGAAAGGAGGAGGGAGAGCACCAGAAAAAAATAACTAATGTCTACTAGGCTTAATACCTGAGTGACAAAATAATCTGTACAACAAACCCTTGGGACATGAGTTTATCTATACAACAAACCTTCACATGTACCCCTGAACTTAAAAGTTAAAAAGTAAAAAAAAATAAATAAAAATAAAAATAATAAAAGTTCGTGAGGGTATATATTGAGGCAATAGAATCAGGAAGCAAAGATAAAGTTAAGCAAAAAGTATGAAATTTGGACAAGCCTCTATATAATGTTGAAAAATTCAACTCTAAATAGCATGGAAAATTGAGATTGGTAAGATGCAAGAATTTAACTCTTCTAGGTTATGGATAAGAGTCTTTTACCACATCTTAGAAGTGTGAAAGAGGGCATCATTTGTACCATCAGTTCTAATAAAGTTTATAATACATGCACATGAAATGAGGATCATAACAGAAGAGGAAATGCCACAGACCCACTCATGAGAAGAATGGGGCTTCATTGGCAGGCAGTATGATTTTAAGGCACTTTTTTATTATTCCTAATGATATGATGGTCATCAGTCAATAGACTGTGGGTTACTATATCAAAATAATTCATCATTACATTTACAAAGCCAAGATGAAGCCTCAAATCTTTTGGCAGTTTTCAACTGCCTCTTGTTTGGAAAATAGTTGTGTATATTCCATTCTGGTACAACTGCATAATTACTAAAAGATGATAGAAACACTGTGTTTACTCTATGATTCTTATTCATCAAACTTGTTTCCAAAGTAGAAATTCACAATTCTCAATTCACACTTGTTAGTGAAGGCTTTGTGTATTCTGCGGGTTCAATAAATTGGTTTCTATGGTTGAAAAATAAAAGTATTCAGGGAATAATTACTTTGAGAAGACTAAGGCTCATGCTAATTTGTATAAAATGCTTCTTAGGAATGCCACAGTCACACATGTCCTGATCGCCTAATATATACACACACTGGAGATTTTTTTTTTTTTTTTTTTTTTTTTTTGAGACACAGTCTTGCTCTGTCGTCCAGGCTGGAGTGCAGTGGCGCGATCTCGGCTCACTGCAAGCTCCGCCTCCCGGGTTCAAGCCATTATCCTGCCTCATCTCCCGAGTAGCTGGGACTACAGGTGCCCGCCACCATGCCCGGCTAATTTTTTGCAATTTTAGTAGAGACGGGGTTTCACCGTGTTAGCCACGATGGTCTCGATCTCCTGACCTAGTGATCTGCCCGCCTCGGCCTCCCAAAGTGCTGGGATTACAGGCGTGAGCCACCGCTCCCGGCCGAGAAATTTTTGTTTTTCATTGTCGCGTCTTTCTGAAGTAATGAATGGTTTAAAAATTGGAACGAACATAGAGAATATTAAAAAGTATGGATACGTAAATTATTCAACTCAAAACGAGAGGAGTATAGATCATTATTAATCATGTATTAGATGGAAGAATAAATACATGTCCCCCTTGTTATGCTTCTGAAGAATGAGGGCTACAGTTCCACTTAGGAAAGACAAAGGTGAAAATAGTCCCAGTGATGACAAGAAGCAGAATGAATTCTCAAATGTTACAGAGCCTTTTTTTTTTCCCAAACCTCATAGAATTTATGAGCATTTCAGTGGTATCCTCAAATGGGAAGGTTGTATAAGATTTGCAATGTTGCTTGGTTTTCTGGAAGAAAATCGTAGTTCATATTTCATATGAAAGTAATGTTTAAACTCAAATCTGTTGGGTTACCTATGGTTGGAGGACAATGCAAGAGGAGAAATGTAGACAAGTCCTGCAGTCTAAAGTCAAAGTTATGGCCAAGCCATTCAGCAAGCATTTGTTTAGTATTTACTATAAATCAAAACAAAACAGAAACAGAAAAACACCAAAAATTAAATAGAGAACTGTACAGTAAGGGTAATGTATCCGAAGCAAAGGAGATACATGTGAGTTACTCTGGGATGCATAGAGAGATATTATATGTGTGGCTTTATATTTTGGGGTTCAGAGGAAGTATCTTAAAGGCACTATGGCTTGAAATTGTTCCTAAAGAACAGCTGAAAGTAAATCAAGTACAAAACGTGGGTGAAATTCTTTCAGGCTAATAGAGATTGAGCAAACATTATCCCTTTTGCTGGTTAGATGAGGCTCAAGGATAGTTGTTGATCTTGCCCTATATAATGTTCCTACCTATAAAATGAGAACAGAAATCATATATTGTAGGGAAACTATGACTACACAAGGGATGCTTAAATAATATCACATGTCTGATTTATACATTGAAGCTAATAAGTTCAGGAATGGAATCCAAAAAAAGAGTATTCAAGGAACATGAATGTGTAAAAGACAACAAACGATTAACACTGAAACAATTATGCAGACAGTCTCCAACTTATCATAGTCCAACTTACAATTTTTTTACTTTACGATGGTGAGAAAGCAACAGCATTTAATATAAACTACACTTAAATTTTTGAATTGTGATCTTTTCCTAAATGAGTGATACGCAATATGATACTCTGGCAAGTTGCAGCTCCCACCCAGCCAGTCTAATCCAAATGTTCTGCTCATGTTTAAGGTATGTTAGGCTCACTTATGATGTTTGGTGTATTCAGCATATTAAATACATTTTTCACTTAAGATATTTTTAACTTAAATTAGGTTTATATGGACATAAACCCATCATAAGTTGAGGAGCATCTGTATTTGAAAAGGTGACTGCTAAGGAGAACAATATATACTTTCTATAGACTTACACATACAAGTATTTTTATTTGTTTTGACTTTTTATTAAAAAAGAGTAATATTGGGATATAAGGAAACAGTGTAGCTACATGCAATTAGAAGCATATGTTTAATATGGCTCATGCTGGTGTTAGTGCAATTACCATATTAATGACAGTGTGTAATCAGGAAACTGAAGTTTTCATGTTAGTGCTGCCACAAATTAGCCATGTGTTTCACAAAGGCACTGCTCCTTTTTCTGAGACAAAGTTATCTCATCTCTTAAATGAGAGTGTTGGCCCAGATATTCTAGTTTAGTCTATTTAACATTCTATAATTCCACGGAACAGTATTTTTTTAAATGAGAATTACTCTCCGTTATAAGGTGCTTTTTAAGAAACCAAAAAACAAATCCTATAATTTGACTATGCTCATTTTTTTTTCTATAACTTCTTGTTCTTCATATAATACAACCTATCCAAGAAGGGACTTGTCATATCTGATTTTTCTGTTTAATTTCAGAGTAATGTAATTTCATCATCCTCCAATCAAAGGTAGTTGAAAAGGCTGGAAAAGTTGAAGCAAAATTAATAGAAGCGTATGGTCATAATTTCTCAAAATAAAGGCCTTAACAAGCTAGAAAAGCAAGAAAAAAATGCATTTTGCATAGCTATTGTTTGGGTTATGATGTGTTTAACATAAATAAGGAATTCATGAGAAACTTAAAGTATGGAGAGGGAGAAAAGCTTTGAATAAAATCAGGGAGAAAATCACTATCGTAAGTGAGAGAAATTTTAAATATCAGTTTACAAAAAAAGTCATACATATGTAACTGACCTCATAGAAATGTGTACTGAGATAATTAGTATTGATATCCTCCACCAACATATATGAGTAAAAATATATCTCCTTCTTTTATTTTTTAAACCATTTGAATATGCCTTAGTGCACAAATTTGTCAAGGAAACACAGATTCAGTTACATTCACAGAGAACCTTCCCCATTTTTATGGTATCCAAAAGGAACTTGAATTTAAATTATCTAAAAATTTCTGGAGACCACCTCTAGTCTTCATTCTTCACATCAGGTTTTGATGCCCTTGTTCTTTAGAGGCAGGCTTGGTTGCATTGAGTATTCAAGTCACAGAGCATAGTTTCTAGCCTTCCCAGAAGCTGTTTCACTTGAGTTGTATGCTCTATATGGGCTTAAGTTAGACGTGCAAAGTACAGGGATGGTAATCATAGCACAGGCAATAAATGAGTTCAATGTTGTATTATGATGTACTGTATTTGAATATGGTTTATTGTCATCTTCACAATACTGGTGGTAAGGAAGGAGTCCCTTATTGAAGTCATCTAGCAATGACAGGATGTCCTCACTATTCTGTTCTTAGCAGAAATGTTTGCCTGTTTGTTCAGACATCAGCTACGTTCTTTGCACAATTAAGTTATCTGGTTTTAGGGATATAGAGTCTCCTCTAGGGCTCTTCTTATTTTTCTGACAAAAAGGCTATTGGCTAAATCTTCTAAATTGATAAATTTCATGTCTACTAAACACAGAAAATATTACCCACCACACAAATCTAAGTCTTTGATTATACAATACATATGTTCTAGCCAAATGCATTTTACGTATTTATGGTCCAACTAATATATTACTCTTGTCCAGTACCATAGGCATTGTTTCTAACCAATGCTATTCAACACTCTTCCATCTGCAGCATGTCTTCTAAATTTCTAATTTCCTGATGAAAAAAGAGCTCACTCTACCCGTACTCTTTCTTGTTTTCTGTGTATTATGTCCTGCATACATGGTCATCTTTCTGCTGGGACTCTCCTATGTGACAGTAAGCACTACATACCAAGATGCAAGCCATCTACCATTCTCATCACTTGCAAAAAATCCCAAAAATCCTCCCCTTTCCCTGTTGCTAGAAATAGCAAGAATCAGCGGTCATGGCACTCTGTATTCAAGTCAAATATTACCAATTTTAATCTTACAATTTGGAAAATACCAGCTTAATTTTTATAAATGGAGTTTAAAAATCAATTACATCTTTGGAGGTGGGGAGATAGATATAAAAGGTGATATCGGATTGTGAGATGTGTAATGATGGCTTTTGCTCCTTAGAATATAAGAAAGTTCTTCTGAAATATATGCCATAGGATGGAAAATGATTTTTCTGCTCATAATACACAGCTTTAAAAAATAGAAACTTTAAAAATGTTTTGTTTTAAACAAATCACCCCATTAAGCTGGTTTTATACTTAGAGCAAACAATAGATTTGATAGATGTGGCTATTCAGACAGATACCAGATGAGGAATGATATTATGCCATATCCATATAATACATATGAACTAGAGCTCTCCTTTTGCTCTAGTCACCTAACACATTTAAGTTTCACTAAAAAGAGAAAGCTGATAGTGTCAAAACTCTGTAGTGACTTCCTATATATGCACCTTGGGGAGACAACAAATATTTTCAGGTAAATAAAATTAGGTAATGTCAGCCAGGTGTGATGGCTCATGCCTGTAATCCCAGCACTTTGGGAGGCTGAGGTGGGTGGTCAGGAGTTCGAGACCAGCCTGACCAATATGGTGAAACCCATCCCTACTAAAAATAGAAAAATTAGCCAGGCATGGTTGCAGGTGCCCGTAAGCTGAGCTACTTGCCTGTAATCCCAGCACTTTGGGAGGCTGAGGTGGGTGGTCAGGAGTTCGAGACCAGCCTGACCAAAATGGT
Organism: Homo sapiens; assembly: GCF_000001405.40. Classification (NCBI taxonomy): domain Eukaryota; kingdom Metazoa; phylum Chordata; class Mammalia; order Primates; family Hominidae; genus Homo; species Homo sapiens. The sequence continues at coordinate 54,916,024 of NC_000010.11, read as the reverse complement.
GAAACCCATCCCTACTAAAAATACAAAAATTAGCCAGGCACGGTTGCAGGTGCCTGTGAGCTGAGCTACTTGGGAGGCTGAGGCAGGAGAATCGCTTGAACCCAGGAGGTGGAGGTTGCAGTGAGCCAAGATCATGCCACTGCACTCCAGCCTGGACAACAGAGTGAGACTCCATCTCAAAATAAATAAATAAATAGGTAATCTCAAGATATTTAATGGATACAAATTCTTGTACTTTGAATAATTATTTAGAATCTTACAGAATGGGAATGAAATATTCTTAATACAGAAAACTTCAGCTTAAGGAGGAAGGTTTCCTGCTCAATTTGGAAGTGGCCTGTCCTTGAAATATACTTGATTTTCAAAACTTATTCAAATTACACATGTTCTGTATATTATTTCAGTACTAACACTTTATGTAAACCCTAGCTACTGTGCACACCTATCAGTCACCCCTATCAAGATGGAAATTTTTCCAGAGGCCTCTATTTTACATGTTATGAATTCTAATTTTATATGTAGAGCATGAATAATCAAAGAGTGCATTATTTCTTCATCCCCAGGAGAACACTTCAGAGTTTCATGTAACATTCATAGCTATGAAAGCCCTCTTCTATCTCATGGACTCCTATATTCCAAATAATTTTGAGGATTTTTTTCTAAGGCATATTAGCATCATTAATATCTGATATTCACTTACTTAATATCTTGACTAAAAAATGAAGCTTTGTAGTGGGTTCAATCTTCTGTTGTAGAGATTGTACTGGTCAACCTTCAAGTAGCATGTGGCACACATATCATCAGATCTTAGACACAAAGTTCATGACAGCACTCTAATTTATTCCATATATTCCATGAGTTCCAGAATGGTAAACATCTTGATCGTTCTTTTATGTACATAGTGCTTCTTAGCAATAACAATGATAATAAGTAATTGATCATTGCGGTAGATACTATGACTGTTTTGTTTTGTATAATTTGATGATTAGACCTGTATCGTATGTCTAAATGTCTAGGTTTCACCAGTGATACAGGGTAAAAAGTGGCATATGCCACAAAGAAGTAACCCATCATAAGATTGTATCTTTGCTTTTTCTGCTCTGCCATGAGAATGGCATGTCCCAGATAAGGATAATGGCATGTCCTTGAGTGAGGACGACACTTACCATCTGTGAGCAAATAATATGAATGTCAAGCAAATCTTTGTAGCCACACACCACTGAGATTTGAAGGGTTTTGGTTATCCCAACTAATTTAGGAAAAGCTGAGTATTCTATGAATTTCTTAGTAGAAGCCTTATGTAGATTATCTAATGCTGTTTTCAGCATGAACCTATGAAGTGGGCTCAGTTATTGTCATTTTTCAAAGGAATGAGGATTTGAGAGGAGGTTTAATACATTGCTTAGTGTCCAGAGTGGAAAACTAAGGCGCAAGATTAAAGTTTCCAGCATAAGGCCCCCTATTCCATATGTTTTGAGTTTCCATGGAAAACCAGTAACTTTGATCTTGATTGTATGTAACAATTAGGAAAATCTCAGATGAAGTTTTACCATGACTGACTGAAATAGGGATTAAAACAATTTTTATTTATGTCATTTTGACATAAATAATTTCAAACTGGCCCATCATTGCAAAACTTACAATCATTGCAGAAGGTGAAGGGGAAACTGACACATTCTACATCACTGGAGCAGGAAAAAGAGAGAGCAAACAGGAAGGTGCCACACCCTTTTAAACAATGAAATCTCATGATAACTCACTCCCTATCATGAGAACAACAAAGAGAAATCTGCCCTCCCGATCCAATCACTTCCCACCATGCCCCTCCTCAAACACTGAGAATTGAAATTCAACATGAGATTTGAATGGGAAAACAGAGCCAAATCATATCATGCTGTCCCTGGCCTCTCTAAAATCTCACACCCTTCTCACATTTCAAAACACAATTATGCCTTTCAAACAGTCCCTGAAAATCTTAAAGCCTTTTGGCACAAACTCAAAAGTTCACAGTCTAAAGTCTCATATGAGACAAGGCAACCCCCTACTGCCTGTGAGCCTGTATAATCAAAAACAAGATAGTTAGTTCTAAGATACAGTGGGGGTACAGGCACTGGGTAAATGTTCCCATTTCAAAAGTGAGAAATTGGCTAAAACAAAGGGGCTACAGGCCCCATGCAAAACCCAGCAGGGAAGTCATTAAATCTCAAAGCTCCAAAATAATATTTTTTGACTCTATCTCTCATATCCAGGACACACTGATGCAAGGGGTGGGCTCCCAAGGAATTGGGCAGCTCTGTCCTTGTGGCTCTGCAGGGTAGATCACCCACAGCTGGTTTCACAGGTGGACATTGAGTGCCTGCGGCTTTTCCAAGCACTTGGTGCAAGATGTTGACGGATCTACCATTCTGGAATCTTTAGGACTATGGCCCTCTTCTCACAGCTTCACCAAGCAGTGCACCAATGTGAACTCTGTGTGTGGCTCCAACCACATATTTCCCCTTTGCACTACCCTAGTAGAGGTTCTCCATGAGGGCTCTGCCCCTTCCACATTCTTCTGCCTGGACATCCAGGTGTTTTCATACATCCTGTGAAATTTGGGCAGAGGCTCCCAAGACTCAAGTCTTGCCCTCTGCACACATATGGAAGCTGCCAATGCTTGGGGCTTGCACCTTCTGATGGCTGGACCTGGAGTGGCTGCGATGCAGGGTGCTATGTCGTGAGGCTGCCCAGAGGAGAAGGGTCATGGGCCTGGCCCACAAAACCATGGTTTTCTCTTAAACCTCAGGGCCTGTGATGGGAGGGGCTGCCACAAGTTCTCTGAAAAGCTTTTGAGGCATTTTCCCCATTGTCTTGGCTACTACCATTAGGCTCCTCTTTACTTATGTAAATTTCTGCAGCTAGCTTAAAGGGTTCATCCCCAGAAAATGGGTTTTTCTTTTCTATCACATGGCTAGGCGGTAAATTTTTCAACTTTTATGCTCTGCTTTCTTTTTACATATAAGTTCCAATTTCAGGTCATTTCTTTGTTTATGCAGATGAGTGTAGGCTTTCAGAAGCAGCCAGGTCACATCTTGAGCAGAGGCACAATGCCAACAGTCTCTTTTCTAAGCCTGGTAAGAGAGACTTTTACTCCAGTTCCCAGTAAGTTCCTCATTTACATTTGAGACCCCCTCAGCTGAGACTTCATTTTTCATATTCCATTCAGCATTTTGGTCACAACAATTTAACAATTCTCTAGGAAGTTCCAAACTTTCCCTCATCTTTCTGTCTTTTTCTGAGCCCTCCAAACTGTTTCAACCTTGCCCATTACCCAATTCCAAAGTCACTTTCATATTTTCAGGTATCCTTATAGTGATGTACTACTTCTCTGGTACCAATTTCTGGACTAGTCTGTTCTCACATTGCTATAATGAACTTCCTGAGTCCCCACTGGATAATTTATGAAGAAAAGAGGATTAAATGGCTCATAATTTTGCAGGCTGTGCAGGTAGCATAGATGGTGAGGTCTTAAGAAACTTACAATCATGGTGGAAGGCAAAAGTGGAAGCAGGCATATCTTCACCTCGTGGAGCAGGAGAGAGCAGGGGAAGTTGCCACCCTTTAAACAAGCAGCTGGTATAAGAACTCATTCACTGTCATGAGAACAGCAAGGGCAAATCTGCTCCATGACCCAGTCACCTTGCACCAAGGCCCTCCAACACTGGAAATTACAATTTAACATGAGATTTGGGTAGGAACAAGGAGCCAAACTATATCTAGTATCTTCCTAAAGCCATATAAAATTTTTAATTTCATATTACTGGTAAATACTTATTAAACTTAACTGAATTAGCATTTATTTATAAATATATATATGAAAATATTCAAAATTTGTCTACTATGGAATGGTACTCACTGTATTATGACACACAAAACAGAATCAACAAGTCTAGAATAAAAATGTAAGAAAGTTAATGTTATTCAAACCTACTATTCATAAATCATGTCATTTCTCCATATCTACACCAATAGAAATAATAATAATGATGAATGTGGTTTGCTACAGTTAAAGACCAATGGATGTTTGTATTAGTTCTTTTCTACACTGCTATAAAGATACTACTTGAGACTGGGTTATTTATGAAGAAAAGAGGTTTAATTGACTCACAGTTCTGCATGGCTGGGAGGCCTCAGGAAACTTATAATCATGACAGAAGGTGAAGGGAAACAAGGCACATCGTAACAAGGTGGCAAGAGAGACAGAGTGCAAGGGAAACTGCCAGACACTTATCAACCAACCAGATCTCATGAGAGCTCTCTCACTATCAGGAGAACAGCATGGAAGAAACCGACCCCAAGATCCAGTCACTTTCCACCTGGTCCCTCCCTTGACACCTGGGGATTACAATTCAATATGAGATTTAGGTAGGGACTCAAAGCCAAATCATATCAATGCCTAACAGAGCAAAATCTGAAAACATTTGGCAAAAAGTTAAAAAGAGTAAAGTTGAGTGTGTGTTTCTCTAGGTACTGTGCTCTTTTTATCATTCATTTATTGTATTTTATACCCATCATATAGATTATTAAAAATAGTTTATTGTCTTATGTCTGTTATCATTCTTTGAACCTGTATATCTAAGCATGTCTAAACTTTTCATTTATATCCACCAATTAATTTCCTTAAATCAGTATAATTTTAGGATTTCTAAAACTTATAACAAAAATTTGTACCAATTGATACAAGGCTAATGGAGGTTTAGATTTGTTAAATATGTCTCTTCCCCTGCAAAGTAATCCTAGTAAGAAATGAACTCCTTCTATGAAATCTGAGCTTAACCGGTGAAACTGTATCTGAAGACCTGTGTGATCTGCATCTGAAGACCTGTGTTATCTGCCTCAGAATATGGCTGCCAGAAAAACTAAGAGTGAAACTCAAAGTCTTAAAAATTAGGTACTAGGGCGGATATTTCACTTCATCCTTTCCAGATTATGAAACTATTTTCATTCCATTCTTGTCAACCATCTTTCCCTGATACCTGAGCACTAATCTCATCTCCAACATGTCTTTGTTTCCTTTATTTTTACTACGCTGATTCACCCTGTAATAATTATGGTTTCCACTGTCCCATCTCAATTGCCTCTGCACTGTGAAGTCTGGTGAACCCTGACCACATGATGCAGTCCCATTTTATTGAGATACAATATTGGATCCAATCTCTGCTGATACTGGTTTGTTACTTGTTTGTTCATTTATTTATTTATTCAACAAATAGTTAATAGTTCACTGATTTTCTGAATGAAAATTTAACAAAAACCTATTGTTTTGCATACCTTATTCTGCATACAAAGGATAAAAATCAGTTGAAAATGTTGGAGTAGGTATTATCAATAGAATTTTGGTAAAATGAAGGGGTAGTCAGGCAAATTTTCATTGTAGTTAGGTGATCTGATGGGGATTAATATATTGTGCACAGAAAGGAAGTGGATCATATACCATTCTCAATCCTCAGGGTTAGGCCTAGATTTCCAATGATGACATCTATCTTAATCTAATCAAAATGTTATTTGTTATTTTCTGTGGTGAGACTAAGAAAATATCTCTTTTTAAACAAAGCAGTCCATTAAACAGATAACATAGACACTCAAATATAAGGAAAAAAATATGCTTGTAATTCCGGTTTATCTTTACCTTCAGAACTTGAGTAAATGAAGAGTGAATGGAGTTTTTTGCTCAGGAATATATAACTCTCCCCACTTGGTGCAGGGGAGATTGTACCTTGATGACAGAAGAAGGTATTGGTGGTATTGATGGCCGCCACAGGCTATCTGGAGCAGGTGCTGCCATCCAGCCAGCTGCAGTGGGGAGGTGTCAGTGATGGCAGCAGGAGCAACTGTGGGAGCAGCAGTGGTGGCAGTGGGACCCCTGTGTCCCACATCCCTGAAGCAGCTAACTATGCCACCTCCACCCTCGCACAGATGGGCAGGACTTCTCCCAGGCCTGGGGTCTTTGCCATGGCCTCAACTTTGCTCCCCGCTGTATTTTGGTAGCCTGAAAGCACCCAGCTGAAGGCACCACCAGGAAAACGGGGAGAAGAGAAGGACAGTCCCCAGAGCCTTCCCCTGAGACCCCCCTGGAGACCACCTCCCTGGGAGCCATCGTGAGGGGCCTGGCTGAGTCACCTGATCATCAGGGAGCAGTTTGTTCCAGCATAAAGGCTGGAGCAGAGAAGGGCCCCCAAGTGGAGCAGGTCCGAGGTGGTGCTGCGCTCCACAGAGCCAGTGTCTGCTCCCCAGGAGCAACTGCAGCTGCCCAAGCAGCTGCTGTGACCCAGACACCCCTGTGCTCTGGGAGCTGGGAGCAGGCAGGAGCCCCACCCTCCTAGGCACAGCTGCAGCTGCCCAAGCTGCAGCTATGGGCCAGGGAATCTTTGCACTCTGAGGGCCCAGGAATGCCTCCCTGTCACCGCAGGCTCAGAAGTGACTGCTCACACTGTCTGGCTTCTCCCCACAGTTGGGCCTGCTCAATCAGGGAGCAAAGATGAGGCCAGTCCTAGGTGTTGTCACAACCTGTCCAGGGGTGCACATGCTCGAGGCAGTGCTGATACACCAGCCCCATGCTACCTTGGCCTCCTCGAGACTTTGGGTGCAAACAAGCCTGGGAGGGAGGCTGAGACAGGGGCTAAGGAAAGCTCTGCACTGGCCTGCAGGCACCCCTTGGCATTAATAACCTGGGCTCCATGAACAGAGGCAGGAGGCTATCAGGCTTCTCAGAGGAAGATGGGGTCTTGGTGAAGCCCCACCTTCAAGCCAGGGAAGGCCTGAAGCCTGGGGACTGGGCTTTGTGTCCCGCAGACTGGAGTGAGAACTCGTGGTGCCTTTTCTGGGCCCACCCATGACAGCACATAGACCAATCAGCACACATTTTCTCCTTTTGGAAGCCCACAAAAGCCCTGGGCTCAGCCAGGCTCAAGGAGATGATGGAACAACCAGCTGCAGAGAGAAACTACCCTCTCTGCTGAAAGCTGGACACTCGTCGGGATGACCTGCCTAGCAGAGAGAAGTTACCCTTTCTGCTGAGAGCTGAAGAGATGACAGGATGACCAGCTGCAACAAGGAGCTACCCTCTCTGCTGAGAGCTGAGCATTCATCGGGATGACCTGCCTAACAGGGAGGAGCTACCCTCTCCCCTGAGAGCTGAACACATATTGGGATGACCTGCCTAACGGAAAGGAGCTACCCTCTCTGCTGAGAGCTGAACACCCATTGGGATGACCTAATGGAGAAGAGCTACCCTCTCTGCTGAGAGCTGAACACTCTCCAGGACACCGTTTACAGAAATGATTTGCCCACTGCGGGTCTCCTCTGAGCTGTTCTACTGCTCAATAAAGCTCCACTTGTCTGCACACCTCTTTCTTCCTGGATGCAGGACAAGAACTCTGGACAAGGCAAATGTTAGAGCTAAAAGAGCTGTAACTGTAACACGATATGGGCGGAAACTTGCCTGTTGCCTGCCATGTTGCAGGTGACAAAAAGGAGGGATGAGAGGAGGTAAGAGCTGTGGCCTTGTGGGGCCCCAGACCTAGAAGCTCCCCAGGCCAGGGCTGTGACAGCCTATTTAGGGCTCTGCAGTTCCTGGTGTCTCCAAGTTTCTGGCACCACACTGCAAACCCCACTATCACCTGTAGAAGCTGGTTATGGTACGCCTTGTCCAACCACAGTCTCTCAGGGAGCTGGTGACTGTGCCAGCACCTGGAGTTGCCTGCCATGCCGCAGCCAGTGTGCCTGGCTATGCACTATAACTGAACCCCATGCCCACTCATACACCCCTTGCCACTCTGGGCCAGGCTCACCCTCGGCAGGCATGGGATCCAAGCATGTAGCAGAGTTGAGCACAGCCTGCCAGGCTGAGTTATCAGAACCAGCCCAGTGGGCCAGAGCAAAACTCAGGCAAAGGCACCACTGGCCACAGAGGTTTCCAGCTGGTGAAGTGACACCCTGAGGATCCCATAACAATGTCTCTGTAGCCTGTGTGTTTCTGAAAAGTTCTGGATTGGGTTTCTCCCAGCAGAATATTCTGTCTGAATATCCCAGCAATGTAACAGCATACTTCTTCAGAAAGAGGGGCCAGGGTTCTTGACTTCTTAGGCCTACCTTAGGGTTGTCCAGTCTTTTATTGAGAAAGACCAGCTTTCATAGGGTATGGTGTATCTATACAAATTTCTTAAAATTATTTTCAATTATATCATTAGGAATTTAAAAGGGTTGCAGTACAGAAAATAATTATCCCTAGATCACAATATTGCAATATCACACATATACCTCATTGGTTTATTATTGTGCTTACAGACATAAACTATTTAAGGGACAATTTGGGGAGCAAAGAGGATAAATTTCATATTTTTTTGGAGAACATTGTATTTATAGGAATGAGTGTTCCCAGGGGGCCTTAACAATGACAATAGCAACAACCAGAACAATAATGAGGATTCACGTGAATCAAAGGGCAGAGACCAAGAGAGCATACAGTGAAAACACAGCTAAAGACTGGATAAATACTAAGTTCAGTATGTGACGTCTTCATCACATGACACTGCATTGTGGAAGAAATAATTGTCAACAGTAAAAATGCTGTAGTGCTTGCAGGGGGGATTTATAGTGTATCCAGAGGAAGGGTTGTTTTCTGATTCAGTTTCTTCTCAATACATTTTGGAGAATATAAAAAAGAAGAAATACATGCATAATTATATTGGGTAAAAATCAGATATTTTTCAGTTAGTCTGTTAGAAGCATACCTGGAATATATTTAGTGTGTCATATATTTATTAGTGTCATTAATTTTGCTTTCTTGTTTAGTAATTACAACCTGTTTTCCCCAGAGAAATATATACATTTGAATTATAGCTGAGTCATCAATGACCTACCAATATACACTCATGGAAAGGAATCATCTCTTTCCTTTTCTCTGTGACTTCTGCCAAGAAAAGAAAATGCAGAGTGATGGTGCACATACAAAAAGCAGAAAACATGGATCCATTAGGTTTGTGGCCAATATATTGTAATTAAACTCACTTTTACTGGATACTTCCTGTTTTCCAGACAGTGTGCCAGGATCTGAGGAGACAGCAATTATTAGGGTAATGTGATTTCTGCATGTTAACATGATGCCTGCATGTTAAGACCTAATAATCTTATGAGAAAACAGAAATTCCTAGGGAGACACTGATGGTGGGATTTTAAACATTTCTTAGCATATCTGATAACAATATTCAACATACAGTCATGGATTCCTATGTACTTGCTGTCTTATATACTAGGATGTACCTTTATAAATGAACCTCTCTTACCTTTTGAATTTGCAAAATGTTGGGCACTCTCTCTCCTCCAGGTTATTTCTCAAGCAAACTGACACGGAGATGTTGGAGGAATATTACCCCTGGCAATTAGTTAAGAGCCTAGCACTGAGCTAATTGTTCTGCCTACATTATTTCAAACAATCCTCAAATAAATCCTGGAGTTTAAATTATGAAATTAAACATAGAGAGAACAAAATAAAATTTAAAATCATCAAATTGTATGTACATATGAATGCATTTATTTTGGAATTTATTTTTTATTTTAATGTGAGCTTGGTAAAATTATTAACAGTTCTGGATTGAAAATATATTTAAATTGTTGCAATTTAAATTAAAGTAGAAAGAAAATAAAAAAATAATCTAATCGATTTCTGAGTTGTATTTTAAAGACTGTTGTATTTGAAAGAGAATATTCAGAGAGAATAGTCATCTGGGTCCTCCACTGCTAATGATTCTTGTGCAGACTTTCAATGATGTGGATAATATTCTGGAAGTATCAATTTACAAATTGGATGTTGGATTCTTTTCTACCTAGGAAATTTCTGAACCAGCCCCTTTTGATTTATCTCCCTTGTTGCTTAGATGCAGTTCTTCAGCAGTTTAATGCCTGAAGGAAGCTCACTCTGACCTTAGGGTGAGAGAAAGATTTTGCCTTTTCCTCCTTTGTCTTTACTAAAGAGTTCCCTTTATGTAAACCTTTGAATTGTACATTGTTACCAGATGTAAGGCCAAATGAGATTAACCAATTTAACTTAATCTGAGTATATTTAGAAAGTAAATCTGAGCATATTTAGAAAGTAAATCGGTTAATCTGCTGCATTAAAAGTGGCTTATCCTATTGAAAAGGAAATGTTAAGAGGGAGAAATTTTTGTATTCATGACACATCTGCAACTGTTCTGTTTTGACAGAAGAGTTCTGCATGACTCAGAGATCTCAACCCCTGTTCTTGTCCATATGGAACTATTGAGCCTCATATTAATATTGGAAAAGACAACTCTATCCAGCTTTCTAAGGATTATAGCAATATTCTCTTTCACGACCTAGTTTCCTTGAAAAGCCTTACCTTCTCAGGCTTCCTATAACTGTCCCAGGAACTGGCATTTCTTATCTTGTTTGCAAATAATCTCACATCATCTGAACTATTACAAAGCTTTTAAAGTGATAAAGAGATCAAATAATTAACTAGTTGCATTAGAAATGAAGAAAAATATGGAAAAATTCATAAATGCATGATTCTATTTCTTTGACAGCATGCTTGGAAACTCCATTAGCTGAATTTATCTCATAATTTATCAAACAAATTCATTGGCTATGCCAGGATTTTATACATTTCAGCGAAATAAATACAGTGTTGCTTGTATGTGCTTATGATGATAAAATAATGATTAAAAGAATTTTAAGGATTAAAGCCTGTGCCCAAGTTCTGACATAATTATTATTATTAATCCCTGTTGAGAGAAAATAAAAAGAAATACTTTTGATATTATTCTTCTATTTCAGTGTATCAACACATTTATAATGTGGCACTGTGCAACTGAGGAAAGAATCTGGACTTTGAGGCCAAATCCTTGCTCTGTCATTTATTTATTAGGTGTGGGACCTCAGACAACTTCTCTGAACATTGGTTTTCTTATATGAATTTGAAAGTGGTACAGTCATATCTGCTTCATAGTGTAGTTGTGTGGCCAGAACGAAAATAGGTAATAGAGAATGCCTGATACATAGCAGATGCTCAAGGAACAAAAGCTAATTTAAAAATATAATTTTAATTTATCTTGTATTTTATCTTTGTCCTTTTTGTTTTTTTTAATTTATACCCACCTTCTTCCCTTTTCTCCACACTTTACCTCTTGACCTTCTGAGAGTGAGCTGTGGTACCTCAAATGGCACATGGAAATTGATTAGAGTTAAGGAAGTGGGGCATACTGAAGTGATGTGATAAAGTGTGGGGCAGCTAGGAAAGAAATTATTCTGTTTTTGTTTGTTCATTTGCCTGATTGGTAGTTTATTTCTAGTCTTTCCTCAAGGCACCTAAATGTCATGGTTCATTCTGATGGCACAGAGAGACAAAAGGTCTCTCTCTTTATATTTCTATCCATTATGCTGTTATGTAAATATATCATTGTAAATGCAACTTAGTAGAAGCTATAACTGAAATAGTTATGAAAGTATTTTGTCATCTTATTATATAGATTTTGTTCCAACCTGAGATTTTTTTTTTAATCATCATATAATTGAACCCAAACCAGGTTGACCTAGGAGGGAAAATATTTAGGGTAGGCATAAGCTACCACAATCAAATACATAAATTGTAACTAGATAGTCTCTTCTCTTTGTATAGTTAGATGGAGTATGAAAATCTATTGGAGGTATTGTTTAAAGTACAACCTTACATGAATAGGCTAAAATTTAGGCTTAAGATGCAAAGTTAAAATATAGTAATAAGAAGAAAATAACATTAATTATACTTCCACAGCAGAATACATAGTGATTTTGCAAAGCTGAAGTTAAAAGGAAGAGAGGGGGAAACAAAAATCAACCAATGATTTTTAGTTTTGCTTTTATCATAAATTTCACAGCATGATATTGTTTCATTGACATATATAAAATAATACTGAGGGCATCAGTATTATGTTAAAAGGAATAGGACAGCATCCTAACTAAAGCCAGTGAAAACATTTGCTTCAAAAAGGCAGTTATTTGTGCCATAATAGTAATAATATGTCATTGTCTAGAGTGCACTCAGAATAAATGGCTCAGCATTACCAATTATACATCTTGACTTGGCAGCCTGTAGTTTTATTGTTGTGGGAGGGAACTACGCTCTTCATATTCACTTGACAAATGAACTCTACCATTTAAATAACTATTGAAACACTGCAATAAAATGAAGACATACAGAATAGTGTGTTTGTGGAAAAAATGATTTGGTTCCTCTGAGTTGTTTTAGAAAATTAGCACAATGCATTAAATCAGGTGTCAGGAAATTTCATGGTCATACCTACAATAATTTTTATTTTTGAATTGGACTATTATTAGATTGTTTCTAATACTGGATTACAGTTTAATTATACTTACTGCTCTTTAATGCTTCATAAAATACTTTTTCCCAAAAAAAAAACATGGCAAAAAATAGGTTTAGTTTCTTATTTCTATTTTATTTTTCAGATTTCATTTTGTTTTTGTAGTTACAATATTATATGTGACCTATACAGGGGAACATTCTAATGGGGAACAAAGTGATCATCATATTCTTAGCTATTATACTTTGGAAGTCTGAATGGTCTTCAAAATGAATTTGGTATACTTTCTTAACCTGTGAATTAAATGATAGCTTCAACTTACTTTAAAGGTAATGAGTAATGCTTTGCTAAGACTATTTTAAACACATAGAATATAATAAAATTTGAAATTGTATGTTCAAAAAAGCCATATATTCAATTGTTTAGTGATGTAGCCACTTCCCATCCAAACGAACACTGTAGTGTTGATGTTATTGGCTTGGTATCCCTTCTTTTCTTTCGTACCTAGTCTGTTTCCTCCTTCATACCTCCAACCGTCATCTTTATGAAGGACACTCTTTTCTGCATTTGAGTAAAGGAAGGGCAATGAAAATACTCATATATATTTGGCCACCTAAAGAACAAAGTCTAATTTGAAAAATCAAGGATAAAAGCCATTACTTGTTAAACAGGCTAGGTTCCATATTATATACATTGTGATGATAATCCCCCTAATTAGGAAAGAAAAACCTGTAACCCGAGGAGATGAAGCAGCTTGCCCAAGTACAGTGACTGCTGAAATTGCAGCACAAAACTGCCTATCTATGGCTGTCTTTAAAGCCCATGCTCTTTCCCTCCCTCTCAAATGACTGAAATAAATAGCTAATGAGAAGATGCAACCAAGGTACAAACATTCCATGAATTTATTTATCTAGAGCAGATTACAACCATTTGGGGGAGAGAGCAAATATACATCCTCAGTAAGGGCACTGATATTTCGCCCAGAAATGACATATCTTCTGGTTTGTTGTTATATTAGTCTGTTTGCACACTGCTATAAAGAACTACCCGAAACTGGGTAATTTATAAAGAGAAGAGGTTTAATTGACTCACAGTTCCACAGGCTGTACAGAAAGCATGGCTGAGGAAGCCTCAGGAAACTTACAGTCATGGCAGAATGGCAAGGGGAAGCAAGCATCTCTTAATATGGTGACAGAAGAGAGAGGGACCAAAGGGGGATGTGCTACACACTTTCCAACAACCAGATCTCCTGAGAAATCATTATCACGAGAATGACAAGGGAGAAATCTGACCCCATAATCCAATCATCTCCCACCAGCCTCCTCCCCCAGCATTGAGGATTACAACTCAACATGAGATTTGGGTGGGGACACAAAACCAAACAGTATCAGTGGTGTATCAGCTCTTTCAAATAGGATAGTGACACGTGCATCCACATTTGTTTTTTATCTGACATGATAATATATGAAAGTAGGTATAGAGCTTATTGATTAAGTCCAACAACTTAATATCAAGATATAAAATAAAATTCATTCTTTGAATATAAATGAGACAGTCATTTGTTTGTTTGCTTGTTTCAGTTACATTAAACTACTGGTGAATTTGAAGCTGTGATTTCATGAGCTTTTGGAAGAACGGGTCCTGTAACATTGCAAAAAAAAATCATTTGAATGGAATGTATCAATATGAATATTTGGTAAATTTGCTTAATAAATATATATATAGAAGACCTTCAGATGCACAGTTATAAAATTATGATTTTCTGATGAGAAGAAATTAATGCATTCCATAATAATTAGGTTATCTCCCAAATACATTGTATAGGATTTATTCCTAGAACTTTTGAAATAAATGACTACAAATATTTCACTTTTATTTGCTCAAACTGATTTATTAAAAGAGGCAATAGGGATCTTAACTATATATTCACAAGCATTATCAAGTCATTTTCAGTGAGGTTTTTCTATAGAAGTAATGGATTATAATATGAGTCATGTAAGGACTACATGAGACTATCTGTGTAGGTGCCAGGTAAATTACATTGACTACATGTTAGAAAAAAATGACATTTATTTAAGGTAGGAGTAAATCTCTAAAATAATGTGGTCATGAAATAAATATATGTGTGTATGTCAGTTGCTAAAATATAAGGCAAATTCATGAATAAATCACATTATTAGCATGTATATTGCCACCAGATGATAAAATTATCTGTGTCTTATAAACACCAAAATCTACATTCGAAAGCAATATTACATATATTTCATAGAGACTTGACACTGGTTGATGAGGTTCTGCAATAAAATTGTACCAATTAAGCAGTTCCAGAAAACTGTAACCTTAATGCACTAGCTTTGTCCTATTTTATTTTATTCATTTATTTATTTTTGAGACAGGGTCTCACTCTATCATTCAGCTCACTGCAACCTCCACTTCCCAGGCTCAAGTGATCCTTCCACCTCAGGCTCCTGAGTATCTGGCATACAGACGCCACCACACCAGGCTAATTTTTTGTAGAGATGGTGGAGGGGGGTCTTACTTTGTTGCCCAGGCTGTTTAACTTCTGAGCTCAAGTGATACACCTGCCTCGGCCTTCCAAAATGTTGGGATTGCAGGCACGAGCCACCACACCTGGCTGCTTTGTTCTATTTTAATATTCACTTGGTTATTGTTATCACAAGGTCTAGAGCACAAATGATACCCTAAATGTGAAAATCTAGTGCTGCATCTTTTAATAATTAATTCCTAAAGCAATCTGAACATTGCCTGTTGACCAATACTATCATAATACTCTAATTACAAGATAAAGGGGAGAGCTTTTTGGTAGCTTGGCTTGCTTATTCTGAAACTGAAACATTTTGTGACAAGTTTACTACATTGAAACTGAGACATAAACTGGGTCGCTGAAGGTTAATTTCCACACTATGCTCCTATTCAGTAGTGAAATTCATATCTAGAACAAGGTATTGTTGCCATTTATACATTGTCATATATAAACTTTTTGTTTAAGCAAATTGGAATATATCTTGGTGATGTTTGTGTTAAAAAACCAAATCATAGCAATGCTTTTAATGTCAAAGGCATTCCTGAATAAATCTGTAGAATGCAATTTTTATTTGTAAAAGTAATGGATTGAAATTAATTTCTTCCTTTTGAAATGCAAACAAGTTTAACTTTTATCATTTATTCAGTTACCACCTTAACTAAATACTAACAAACTTTATCCTAAACTTTAGATAAAATCAACAAGGATTATTTAAGACTTTGCTCAAATCTCCTTCAATCTGCCCTGTTTATTAAATATTATAAGTTTCAGCCACCTTACTCACAACCTTCTTTTTTTTACACTGACAATTTTCCCCTTAAAATTATCACGTTCGAATATTATATATAATTTACTTGTTTTATTTGTGTTGCACATTGTTTATTTCCTGGGTATTGCTGCCAAGTAAGTGCCGAAGTAAAAGACTTTTAAAAATGTGTTTACTGATATATTCCAGTTGTCTAGGAAGATGGCAGATACACCTGGTATATAGTGATCAATAAGTTTGAACATGCCTTAAATAAGTAAGTAAAATATTTAAACAATTAGTGACAACAACACAGTCAATCTTTTGTGGGTGTATATGTTTTAATTTTTTTTCTTACAGTTAATTGCATAGGCAGATAAAGAATACTAATTGTTACAATTGAGAAACATTTTAGGGAGGCTTTGATTAAATGTCTTTTTTTTTAAAGCACTTTATTATTGGAATGCACAGCAAATTTTAAGCAACTCTAAAAATTATTTTCTACTGAAATACATATTTGAAAAATATGTCATTCCTTTGTTAGAAAGTTATAAGAGTAATACAAATAGAAAGATATAATCTTTGGTCGGGCACGGTGGCTCATGCTTATAATCCTAGCACTTTGGGAGGCCGAGGTGGACGGATCACAACGTCAGAAGTTCGAGACCATCCTAGCTAATACGGTGAAACCCATCTCTACTAAAAATACAAAAAATTAGCCAGGCCTGGTGGTGGGCACCTGTAGTCCCAGCTACCTGGGAGGCTGAGGCAGGAGAATTGCTTGAACCCGGGAGGCGGGGGTTACAGTGAGCCAAGATCGCACCTTTGCACTCCAGCCTGGGCCACAGGGTGAGACTCCGTCTCAAAAAACAGAAAAGAAAATTACGGAAGGGAAGGGGAGGGGAGGGGAGGGGAGGGGAATTATCTTTAATCATGATCATGAAGTAAAAATAAAACCATTCCTGTGATAATTTATAAACTTTATAAATTTATTTTCTCACTCTTAGAAACAGCTGAAAAAGAAAGCTAGCACCATTTAAATAGATATTTGCTTTTGTATCCTTGTGATAAATAATAAAATTTGAAATATTAAGATAAAAATTAAAGAACTAAAAAATACCTTAAGGATAAACTATTTCAGCATCAGTTATTTGCATCATCTTCATGTATTAGGATATAACTTAGATCCACTTTATATTCATCTAATTTCCACAAATAAATACTCTACGTCCAGCAAGTGAATTATTTACAGGAACTTCATACAGCTGAATTTCTTTTCGTGTAATAATACTTTTTTTAAATGGCAATCGTTACTTTTATGATAGCTTCCAATTCCAGGCTTGTTATGAATGTGCTGCATGACTTAAGCAAGACTCTATCTTGCAGAAAAATGGAGTTCAGTCTCCATGATCTCCAAGTTTCCTTCCCCTTCTATGATTTTGTACCTTTGTCTCTTATTGTACCATATATGATTTCGCTTTTGTAGTAAAACACTTAGCATTAACAAATATACATCTACTCTTTTAATTTACCAGTTTTGTATTTTTTAAATGGACATGATATACTGAAACTATGGTTAGAACTAGAATCTTTCATGCTACATGTTATCTATATATTCAGGATTCAAAATGTTTCTTGTACTGTTTTCCTTGGGACTACATTTTAAAAAGGAAAGTGCTTTCATAGGAGTCTGCCTCATTCCAGGGAGTAAATAAATACTCATTAGAACAATACTGAACTAGGTATTTATTGGATAGAAAATTCAGTATTCCAGTAAGTACTTAACTAGGTATTTATTGGCTAGAAAAATGATACAATGGATTATATCTTTATCTTATTGAGAGAAAGAGTTGCTGAAAAATCTGGGAAATATAAATAAAATATAGTGTGATTATCATCCTGGAATATTCCTTAATTATCTTCTCTTAAATATTAACTTAGATATCTTGTCTCAAAGCCAACATAATAAATTATAGTTTTTTCAAGATATGAAAATAACCCTAGTTTATTATTGTATTATTTTATCCAAAACTTTATTATGATATTCTTCAAAATATTACAGTGTGAAATATATCATTCTTCCATTTTTAAATAAATGAACATATTAAATATATGTACTATGTGTTAGGTTGTTCTTGCATTGCTATAAAGAAATACCTGAGACTGGCTAATTTTTAAGAAAAGAGGTTTAATTGGCTCATGGTTCTGCAGTCTGTACAGGAAGCATTGTGCCAGCATCTGCTTCTGAGGAGGCCTCACACACTTTTAAACAACCAGACATCGTGAGAACTCACAGTCACCAGGACAGCACCAGGCCATGAGGGATCTGCCCTCATGACTCAAATACCTCCCATCAGGCCCCACCTCTAACACTGGAGATTACGTCTCAACATGAGATTTGGAGGGGATATCCAAACTATATTATACAGAAAGAAGGATTTTTTCATAAGCTGTTTTAATACCCAGGTGTAATCATCAAATATATTCAGTTATATTTATTGCTCAGTTTTAGGTAAAATATCTAGCATATCAAATCCAAACACAATATGCCTTATGCATTATTTCCATATTGCTTGTGAAATTTGAAAAATTAGTTTCCAAAATGATCTAATATCTGAATCTAAAAGCACTTAAAGATAAAACATTTTGTGAATACAAAATTTAAGTAGAATTAGCACATTTCTAATGGTACACACATATATTACATTTGTTTCTGGCTGTAAGAACATATAAAACAAGCTACAAAATATGTAAACACCAGAAGTTATAAAGAAATACTTAGTAGTTAACAAATAGTTTTCTTTTAAATAATACATAATTGTTGTTTCAATTCAAATTAGAAAATGCCTTTGACTGAATAAGTTCTTTTTATTTACAGGAATTTGCATTGTCATGTTTCGAAATACCATTCCAAAGACCTGCAAATAAGGTATGTTATGTTTTATTTAATATTCAAGTATATGTTTAAAATTTCATGTCAACGGTTTACAAACTAAGAGCTGTATCTCAAAAGAGAATCATAAGTAGAGTGTTGATTTTTGAATTCAAGTTACAACTATCATCGATATGTTGCAATTACGTTGTGATTGTTCTTTCCCTTTATTGAAAACCCACTTGTATAGAGATGTCCACTATTTGCTGGTTTATTCAAGTACAGTATTAATTGTTTGAAGCAGAATGCAAATGTTTGTTTTGCTTAATTTATTTGCCATCCAACAAAGACTTTCTTGCCAACGTATTATGTGGCAACTGTCATGCAGCAATTCATACACAGAATGTAACTCATGTAGAAACATTTATCCAAATCCAACAGCCACAGGAGCAAGACCATGGGAAAGTATGAAGTAATCAATATTTGGAAAAACATAAAACCTAAAATCTGAATTTGGGTTATAGTAAGACCCTGAAAGAGTTCTTTTTAAAATATATGTGTATGGCTCTTTATTCTCAATATGTAATTGCTTATTGGAGTCACATAAAAGCACCTAATATTAAATTGAATTAACTTATTACCTGAGATTTTAATATTAGAAACATTGTTTTTTTTACTTTGTATATTATTAGGGGAAAATATTGCATTTAACAACGAAAGCATTTGGATATGCCAATTCACTTATTTGTGGCTCTTTTCTCTTTGAAGAGACTCTTGTAACCAATGTTGTTCTGCCTGAGTGGTTGCTAAAAGGAAGGAAGAAAGTGCAGAAATATTAAAATCTGAAAAGTAAATGTCAATCTTCAAGGCCCTGGATTTTAGGAAAACTTAAGGAGAAGAAACATTTTTTAAAAAAACATCTTATTGGCATGACTTGGCATTCATATTACAAGTAAAAATCTAGTTCATGGAGCTAAGCTATTTTTTTTTTTTCCGCTGGGAAATTCAGTTGCACCTTAATCTAGGGAATAAATCAAGAAAGAAGCATTGTAGTTCCTTATTTCAGTCATGTTTTCATTCTTATATTCTCACCAGAACTTTCAGAAAAGTCAACAGCTGGATAGAATTTGGAATCTTTTCAAACTCGTGTATCTCAGCTGTTTCTACTCTAGTTTTTGAAGGAGGCAAAATTAGATGTGAATGCTTTATGATTATACTTTCAATGCATGTTTCTAATTGACTATAGTAAAATAAAATTGAAAGTTAAATAAAAAATAACTGATTTGCATTTATGTTTACCTACTTTGTTTCTTTAAAAGTACTCCTGGGCGTGGTGGCTAACCCTTGCAATCCCAGCACTTTGGGAGGCAAAGGTGGGTGGATCACAAGGTCAGGAGTTCGAGACCAGCCTGGCCAACATAGTGAAACCCTGTCTCTATTAAAAATACAAAAATTAGCTGGCTGTGGTGACACGCACCTCTAGTCCTGGGTACTCGGGAGGATGAGGCAGGAGGATCGCTTGAACCCGGGAGGCGGAGGTTGTGGTGAGCCGAGATAGTGCCACTGCACTCTAGCCTGGGCAACAGAGTGAGACTCCATCTCAAAAAAAAAATACCCTTAGATACCCTTAGCTATTTTTCAGTTATAGTATCACCAATAGCCAAATAAATTTTAAAAGAAAAGTAGACTAACGTGTATGGCTAAAAAAAACCTTGACTGATTCAGCTTGTTCTTTTTAGTGATATATACCTCAAAATAATAAGAACTATTGTTTCTTTGGTTCCCAAAATATCAGTAACCAAAACAGAAAGACAAATTGCAATAAAAATATCCCAAATTAAACAAAACAATGTTTTGCAGAGGAAATTTCTTGCCTCTTTTAGGCGTATTATTAGTTGGCATCATATAGTTAAATTACTAAAAGAATCTTTCTGGCCTCTGACAAATGAGACAACAGTGCAAAGGGGGCAAAATCCTCTTCTCTAAGCTGTTATTCAGAGAACAGAAAGTGTAAAAATACAGTAATGATGAAATAAGTTTTTCAAATATTAAACTTATCTCTTGTCTTTGAGGTATTTGTCTGAGTATAGTACAATGAAGCCTCACCCAGACATTCAGCTCAAGAATTGCTATGACTTCCAAAGTCTTCAACCTGAGTGTTTAGATCATCCTTCCTACTGCCTGAGTGGTAGTAGGCTAGGAATGATCTGTAGAAGTATAATCCCTGAGGCAGTAAATCTAGGATTTCTTATAGATGGGCCCTTCACGGTTGACTTTTAGGGGAAGAGGAATTATGAGTAGCCACAATCCAAATGATTGGTATGTGCCATTGTTCTACTCTTAACAGGGTAAAATGAGGATACACTGTAGTTATTTTTATTGTTCATTCTAAGAAGCTGTCTTCAAATATCTATTTTTATGTGTGTCCCATATTTAAAAGATAAAAGAATGAACATCATGCTTTCTTATCTGAATTTTTATTCTTGATTCTGCTGTCAGAGTGATGAATATGTATAGATAGGCACGTTGCAAGAGAACTTCTAAGAGTGATGGAGATAAGAAAATATTTAGTATTCTCAGTAGCAGATAAATGAAAAGGAAATCTGTTGGTTACATTTGGTATTCAGTTCTTTTAATCAGTGCTGGTAAGGCAGGCTTCCAGAGTGTTTTAGAATATTTAACATTCACTACTTATATACAGGCCCAAAGGACATTAAGGAAGCAGAAGGTGCCTGCTTTGGCTAATTCTCTCTCTTCTATTTTTGTAATGCTCTATAATAAACAGACTTCCTTCATTCACATGCCATTTTTATTTCTTTATGACCTTTGGTTTCTTTCTGGTTGGCCATAGGAATAACTGAATTTTTAATACAGAAATAAAAGTCACTTTCAACATTGTGCTTGTTACAGGTATAGACAGTCAAATAACTGATATTTGAACTACAAAATGTTTCCAATTTGGAGTTCAACTTTCAGGTCAATCTGAATAACCTCTTAATTTTGTATCTCTTCTTTCCTGTGCTGTATCCTCTATTTCTAAGTCTGGCTAGCCCACATTACTTTTGTTTTGGCTTAGGTGGTTCATAAAATAATTTCTGTATGCCTCTCTACCTATGCTATCACTTAAGGCTTTCTTCAAGCATGACTGCTAAATTCTTCCCTAAACATTATATAGCCTTGCTAACCTGAAGTGTGTTTTACCCTCATCATGTATACTCTATAAGTAACCACAGATTATAAACCCCTTGTCTTCTAATTGCACTGAACAATATATTGCTTTATGAATGCACTTTGTTGTCCATTGACAATACATTGTATTAGTGTTGTCTCTCCAGCTAGATGACAAGTTTCTGGTGAGATGGGCTATGTTTCTATGGGACAAGAGACACAAAACAAAAACACTTCTGAATTCAAATAAGTAAAATGATCATGTCATATGTACCTGCTTAGCAAAAGTTTCAAGAAATTAATTGATAATGTATTATAATATGTATATTATTATAAACAGCAAGCAAACAGATTACAGACTGTATAAACGCTGCTTTTCCAGTGATCAGATGATTAGACAAGCAAGGCTACAGTGAGAGAAATGTTTGACCTATCCACAATGTAACTCATCTAGAATTTAATAACTGATTTTCTTCTCCCTATAGTCACATTCTAAGAACCTGTGAAGAACAAGCTTTAATTCCATCACTTGTTTAGAGCTGTCGTGTAAATAATTCAGAAATTCTATAACAGTTTTATCTGTCATAAGTATGAATTATTATATTTTATGTAATCTGGGAAATTATTACTCTTTATTTTGTAAAATGAGGAATAGAGAATGTTTACATACCCAACTCTTTTTCAGTATTTGTTAATTTAATTTAATCTCAGATTAAAATTTTATTGTTTTAATTTTTAAACAATATTTATATGCTTTCTCATGGAAATGCACCCCCACACCCGAAACACATACACACTAACCAAGCAAGTTATTCTGCTCAAGGACAATTTACTTTATTACCATCATTAAATCATCAGTGAGAATATGGAGATAATAGTTGGGGTGAGGACTTACCTCACACAAATAATTTACAGATTAAATATATTATTTTAGTTAAAATATTTAGCTAAATGGCACTTAGCAAATGCTTAATAAATAGTATATTCAATCAATGGTAATCACATAAACATTTATGGTTAAATTTCTCATTTTCAGTGCATTATAATACATATTTCATATTTTTTTAAATCTGGGTATTAATTATCATTTTTGGTTTTTAGTGTAATTTTTAGAATTTTTTAAAAATTTCCTTTTTTGTGTATTTCAAAATTCCTATTTACTATGAACACATGTAACATATTTGCTGGAATAAGAATTTTAAGCTGAAACTTTTCAAGCTGAGGGCCACCTAATATACCCCAGTGTCTAATAGTGTAGATAGTTTAAGTGTCAATCTAATTCCAATATCTTTGGATGATTTTCCTTCTCAATCTTCTATATTTCCTTGTCATGAATGTTTGAAAAGTCCAGGAGGAGATGTATTATATTACATTTCTCATTAAGTTTGCCTGGAAATGAAATTTTTAATATGTGATTTCCTTTAAATTGAGGAAAAATATCTTTTAGAAATAGGTGTGGTGGCAGGTACTTGTAAACTCAGCTACTCAGAAAGCTGAGGCAAGAGAATTGCTTGAACCTGGGGGGCAGAGGCTGCAGTGAGCCAAGATCCATTGCACTCCAGCTTGGGTGACAAGAGTGAAACTCCATCTTAAAAAAAAAAAAAAAAGAAAAATTATTATTATTTCCATTCTCATTTATTTTTTTCAATTAATCTCTCTAATTCAGTGATGGAATATTCCAGATCAATCCTCCATGCATCTCAATGTTGTTTGTTTAATTATTGGTTTATAATCACTCTTTTTTTCATTAATTTCCCTAATTTGGTGACAGAATATTCCAGATAAATTCTCCATGCATCTCAATGTTTTTTGTTTAATTATTGGTTACTCTTTACTCTTTTCTTTTGATTTGTGAGAATTTTTTTTGCATTTTTTTACTTTACTAGATACTGTGTTTCTTCTTTTACCTGTTATTCACTGCTTTTTTTGATAGCTTTTAATTTTAAAATATTTTTCCTTGTCTTCAAGGAAATGACTTCACATTATTCTTACAGTTAGATCACACTAATTTATTGACAAAATTAAATATTTGATCTACTGAGAAAGTAAAATTTATTTTACTTAAACTGTAACTAATCCAGCCTACAACAGAAGCCTCCATATTCTTGTTAGCTAGGGAGGAGAAATAAATAAATCCAATTATATAATTGATCGAGCTGTGCATTATTTGGTCTCTTTTGAATGAAAAAAATGCTCAGTCTTTTGGTGTTGCCAATGTTTCCTCCAAATTCTCTCACTAAAGTAGCGTCTGGGGGTGTATGTATGTGGGGTGAGGAACAAGAAGTGTCAGGTATTGTATAACTCAGAAAGTCCTCATGATCATATAAATAAAAATGTGTTAAGAACTATGCCCTCTGCCTCCTTTATTCTTTGATATGACATTCCTTGTTCCCCCAGACCTTTACATCTGAAGTCAGAGTCTCTACATGATTTGTGACCTTGATTAGGGCACAGTAGTGACCAGCACTTTGCACTGTGATGAAGTCTGAATTTGAATCCTGCTGGCTGTAAAAAAAAATGAGGCATATTCTACAGCCTTCTTCAAAACCACCTGTCCTTGCTACAAATACCTGTTTTGGTCCACTTATTAGCTAAATTCTCTGCTAAGATGATGTGTATAACACGTAAGAACTAATGACTGCTAATAAAGCTTAGAATTCAGAGTGCCCCTCTTTTTGACAATAATAAACTACAAAGTTTACTTTGATGAGGCTTTCAGAATTCTCAAAGGCATGTGAAGGCAAGAGACCATACTCTGCCTTTGGCATTTACCTATCTTACATACCAAAACACCTCTCTCTGAATATATCACTTTTCTATCTAAGTTTTCTTCTCACAAATGTTGTAGGCTAGAAGAAGAGACCACACTTTTATTCACCATCCTCTCACTATTGATCAGACATAGAAACTGTAATAATCTCAGGAGAGATCGCTAGATCTGAATCCTATGTTGCTTTTGCGCTAAAGTAGGTCTGAAGGCCAGAAAATGCTCTCCCAATACAGTGGCCTTGCTCACAAGGCTACTGACTCACATATTAGGATAATGTATGTTAGAAGATAGAATTTGCCTATTTTTTCTCTCAGCATTTCCTCTAAAGATATTCCAATCTTTTCCAGACTGTCTAATTATCTGAATAGAATAGACATGATGGTCTGGCACCCAAAAGACATGAAAAAACTCCTAATTTTCAGTTGCCTTTTGAATTTTGTTTAGAACATTGATAATGTATTTCTCAACCATGTCCTCTATTTCCTATGGTGCATCGGTGTCAAAAGGACCACTCATTTCCAACATGAGATAATGTTCCCTTTTCTGATATTATTTTTCTCAACATGACCCCCTTCTTTCCTTGACTTGCTCATCCTTTTGAGTGTGATGCAATATCTTTATATTATGTATATGTACAATTAAGCATGAGTTTATGTGTTTTATTGAAGACTGAATTACAGCAGCTGTAGTTTTTCAGAGAAAGAGGACAACTTTAGGTCTAGATGAGTTGCAATATATTTTATGTAGATGGTTGCAAGTACCAAAGTCAAGAAAATTATACTCAGTTTGGATGATGACATGTGCCAGGCCTACCACTACATATTCTGTAGGAAGCTGAAAAATAATAAATATTTTTGATGGATAAAGACAAATGGTATCCCAAGTGATGTGTTATACTCTACCTAGCTAATGATCTCTTGTGTTTTGTTATTCTGTCCTTACCTTCATGAGGATCTGTGAAGGTCAAACATGGAGCCTAAAAGAAATAAGCTGGGCAGCACATGGGACCTCAAAGCCTTTCTCTTCTCTAATGTTTTCCCCATTCTCATAATAACCAGCAAAAATCTCACATAGTATGTGTTAAGTAGAAATTGCCATCTGTAGACTTAAGCACTACGGCACAGTTATATTTTTTATTACATTTTATATTTTATTTACATTTATCTTTTTGCTTTGTTTTTGCTTGCCAAAATGGACAT
This sequence comes from Homo sapiens, assembly GCF_000001405.40. NCBI lineage: Eukaryota > Metazoa > Chordata > Mammalia > Primates > Hominidae > Homo > Homo sapiens. Next base: position 54,890,369 of record NC_000010.11, on the reverse strand, counting down.
TAAACTCATTGATGTATCTTATAATGTTAGAATATTTTTGGAATCCCAGGGACTTAATCATACTTCTTAAACATGTATGTTTAGAGTTGTATCAGCTTTCCTCTTTTACACTTATTTATGCAAAGCCATTACAGCTACATCTTTATCCACGCTCATGTGATGATGGGGAACATTATTTTATTTTGAAGTTATTTATTAAGGATTCATAGTCACCTATCATATCATCTAAGTTCATTAAAGTGATCTTCTCACTTCAAAAGCCAAAGACACAGTTGATCTCTGTATGTGCAATATGGGAATATAGGGCACATTTATCTAAGAAATGTATTATCTCAATCTAAACAGTGTGCAAAGCCCAATATTTCTGTATTTTTCCACTTTATCATTTAATAAATAAAAAGGTACAATTATGTGACTTTTTCTCAATGGCTAATGTGTCTCTAATTTTATTTCAAGATACTATGGGTGCTGTGATATTTGGTAAGGAAGTACTTTGCCCTCTCATTTATAAATGGTGTTTGAGATTTTAGGGTTATTCGCACAATAAAAAAGTGATTATTTATATCACATTCTCTTTAAAGAATGTAAGAATGATTAATTCAATATATTTAATATATTAAAAACCTTGTTGTCCCTCATATCTGCCTCTCAAATGTATTAGAAACATTTTTATGACCTACATTATTATAGATAAAGTATCATCTCAGAATTTGTGGAGTTCTTGAGGGTTCTCAAGTAGTCATAGTATAGACCAAGAAGACTTTTTCATGTGTGGATTTATCAGGCTTCTTTTTCATATGCAGAGAGAATTAAAGAGCCTCTGTACTATCCTAATTTTGTATATATAGATCATATATATATATATATATCTTCACAATTAGCTATTCAAAATACTTAACAATTTACATCTTTCTGACCTTTATTTTCTTATATGAAGTATTCTGTTCTGTGCGCGTGTTTGGGGAAAGGTTGAATTTTTAATTTCCTTGTCATTATGCTATTGATAATAAGGAAGCACCTAGAATGTGCTAATTACTTACTCAGAGACTATACTATTCAGTCCCCCTAACAATCCATAAAACAGTATTTCCCCTTCTATGCATGTGAGGAAAGTACACAAAGTTATACATGATTAAGAGAACTAATAATGCACAAAGGTCTTTCTCACATCAAGGTTCATTATTCTGCAGTTTTACTTTGCTACCAATTAACTGTACTAAATAGTAAAAATAGGAGGTTCTTAAATTTTGGGAGTCATCAATTCTTCAATGAGCCAGGTCACTGATGCATATTACACATAACTTGGTTTTGGCCTGTAATATTGTTATGCTCATATATATGGCCTAGTGGAGACATCATTAATAACACATTGTGTGTGTCAAATGCACCTCATGGAACATTTAACGAGATAGAACAATTTCTAATTGTATTCTCACAATACAATTAAAAGAATTCAAGTCAAACCAGAGTCTGGGAGAAAGTTTTTTCCAAATAACACATCTGTAAAAGACATATATCATTTAGCATGTACAAAAACTCAAAACTAAGTAATAAAATAGCCCACTTAAAAAAAAAAAAAAGAAAAAATGAACAAGCACTTAACCCCAAAATGTGTACTGAAAAAAAACAACAACAGGAAAATGTGCTGAACATCATTAAGGAAATACAAATTAAAACCACAATGATATACCACCACACATCTATTAGAATTTCTAAAACTACTAAAATTACACAATTTTTTTGGAAATCAGCTTGGCAGTTTCTTAAAATCATTAAACTTATGCCCACCATATGAACCTGCCAAGCCATCCTAAGTATTTACCTAAAATAAAAAGCATATGTGTATGCAAAGATTTACACATGAATGTTCACACTAGTTTGATTTGTAATAGCACCAAAATAATAAAACCAAAATGTCCACCAAGAACTAGATGTGTATATACATATATAAATTGTAGTACATCAGTGCATTGGAATATTCATAATTCAGGGAAAAGAAATATTGATATACCTAACCACACGGATAAATCTAAAAATAATCAGGCTGAGTGAATAAAGTCAGACAAAAATAACAGTACATGCTCTATGAGCCCACAAATATGTAAGTCTAGAAATCCCAAACTATTGTGACAGAAAGGAGATTAGTGAATGTCTGGAATGGCAAAAGCAGAGAAGAGCAGGAGAAGGAAAAGGTTTAACAGAGCCCGAGGAAACTTCTGGGGGTGATACATACGTCCTTTATCTTGATTGTAATGGTTGTTTCATGTTTACATACGTTAAGCTTGTCAAATTGTATGCTTTACATGTGTGAAATATACTGTATAACAATTAAGACTCAACAAAGCTATTTAAAAAATACTCATTGTGGACAGCCTTTAGAGTCAGAGACATCAGCAAAAGTTCCTAAAGGGAATTCTTGAATACCAAACTTTGATTGTGGGAGAGCAGAATATGACATCTAGTTGGAAATTGTAAAAGATGTACAAGATAGAAATTATTTGTTTTTCATTGTTGAATGGAAATAAGTTATCATTTTGTCTGGAATATGTATAGTTTTATTTTCTTTTCCTATAATTAACTATCTCACTGAAGGAAGGACTAAGACTGAAAGGTCAGCCTTTTATTCTTGTATATGAAATCCACCAGTTTTTAATAGCATTGCATGGTAAGCATTGTGAATATTCAAATGAAACACCTATTAATTTTCAAAAAAATGCATTTCTTCTTAATTATATCTAATAGAGAATAGTTTATAATTTATTCTCATTTAATTTAAAAATACTTTGCATTACTCTTTTGACCTGGTTTTATATTTTTATGATTTTCTTTATAATAATTTCTTCCTATATTGTTAAAATGATGTTGACAATAGAATGATAAAATTTGATTATAATGAATTTGAACATGAATCAGTTAATTTAGGGTGAGAACGGGATATAATCACTTAGAATCTCAACTCATAAACTTCACTTAAACATTGTGTCTATATCAAGTTTGTTTATATACAGCTATACAAAATAAACACTATAAATATGTAAATTTTCAAAAGGCATCTCTTCATCATGGAAATTTTCATGTGACTTCATTAACAATTGCAAGGATCTGTTGATGTGAGGTGCTCTAAAAAGATCCAAGGAGAGTAAAACAAACACAGAGACTTTTGATTTATCAATTTTAGATGTTTCAACAGAATTGGATTCAATCCAGAAGTGCAAAGGAAGTGGTGCCCTAATTGACTTTCTGCTTAACTCTAGTTATCTGCTTCCTTTCAATCAAAAACAGGTAGTGCTCTTGGTTGAGCTCTGTCCCATCCTTTCTTGAATAGTCCTTGGGGAATTTTGTTAGTTCTTTGCTATCCCAAACTAACACATGCAATAAAAAGAACATCTGTAATTTTTAAAAGAATAGACATTTAAAAGATCCTTATTCAAGATTGTATGTTTGTGTACACACAAAACTCACAATTTAATATACACAGAGTTTCCTGTTATGTTAGAAATGTGGACAGAAATGGCAAAAGCCTATTTATTGCCTTTCAAAATCTGTTTTCCAAGGTAAACTGAAGACAGAGAAAGGAAACCTGGCAAAAATAATAGCTAGATCATTCTTTCTTTTATTGAGACGGAGTCTGGCTCTGTCGCCTAGGCTGGCGCCTTCTCCACTCACTGCAACCTCCTCCTTCGGGGTTCAAGCGATTCTCCTGCCAAGGCCTCCCGAGTAGCTAGGATTACAGACATGTGCCACCACACCCGCCTAGTTTTTGTATTTTCGGTAGAGATGTGGTTTTACCACGTTGGCCAGGCTGGTCTCAAACTCCTGACCTCAAGTGATCTGCGCCCCTTGGCCTCCCAAAGTGCTGGGATTACAGGCATGAGCCACTGCGCCTGAACAATAACTAGATCATTCTTAAGGCAACTAAGTTGTTGCAAAATAGCTAATAATTCTTAGGTGTGTTTTCTGGTGCAAACTCTAAAAACAGGAGTTTGATATTTCTCTTAATTCAGATATTAGACATTTAATGAGAAATGCCAAAAAGTCTTTTATCTCTGTAAGTTTACAAGTCAATTTAAGAAGTGTTTCTCTGGATGGTGGAAAATTCGTTTTTAAAAAATGAAAGAGATCAGTCTCCTGCTCTTAGAGGATTAAATATTTTCCTATTATTAACTATAAATTAAATGTCTCATTTCCGTAGATCTTTGAACCTACTGCCATTAACTTTTGATGTAATAATCTGTCTCTATATTTGTGATATACAAAAACAATGCTAAAGAATGTAAGTCATTGAATTATTTATTCTGAAAATAGCTTCTTATTAAATTAAATTGAGGGCAGGGGAAGAGAGAGAGAGAGAAAAACAGTGAGAGAGATTGTGTATGTCTATTTGTTATTTTGTTGGGTATGTTTAGGTGAAGTTAAGCATCTCTCTCAAATACCCTAAACTGTTGAAAATTTAATAAGGAAAGCGTAACTGGGTGCATCCTTGCAAGCCAGGAAGAGAAAAAAGTGTATTCACATTTTATTTATCCCTATCATGTCCTTAAGATCTCTTTCTTCCTATATGTAGGAACTTGGCCTTTATTGTGTTCTCAGAGTTTTTTCTCATAGAACCCTACTGTCAAGCTTCAGTATGTATGGAATAGTGAGAAGAAAAATCAATTTCCAGAAATAACTCTATGTCTGTCTTATAGTTACCCAAATATGAACATATTTGGTGTCCAGATGAGTTTGCGATCATCTTAAAATTATGTTATTTTCATATTGATTACTACGTTTACTACTTGTTGTTCTATACCGCTATGAAGTATCGGGGATGACCTTTTTGAAATTATTATTTATTTTGTTCCTTTCTTTTTTTATTTGCTTTTTACTAGATTCTGTTTTCATCCTGTTAATCTGTTTGTGACCAAAGCTAGCAAAATTCTAAACCTCTGCCTTCTTCCCAGTGGAGTAGTTATAGTCTTTTAATGCTAATATCACTTGTTTCATACAGCATGATTTTGATGTGGCAATATTATACTGAGGTAAAATTTATTTTTTTTTCAAATGACCTCTATCAAGATTTCACATGACAGTCAAGCATTCAAACTTGTTTGTTTCCCTTCCCCCTTCTTGAAGCCCTTGCAAATATGAAATTTTTCTAGGAATAGGATATCTGCTAGTTTAGTACATTTTACCACTGTTGCTAACAGTGGTAATGACCAAAACAACTTGATTTTTGGTCATTTAATTATTTAATTTTCAAGATCATTCATTCATTTATTGTATCGGTTGCTGGGAATAAAGCTGTGAGTTAAACAAACAAAACCTGTGCTTTCAGGGACTGATAATCTTTGAGAGAAGAGACTAAATTAACAAATGAATGTTATATGTATAATTATTAAAACTATTAGGGCAAAGAAAGTGAAGGAAATGGAGAATTAGAGGTGATATTTTACATAAAATCACATGAGAAATACTTCATTTTAAGCCTCATATCTAATTGAAGACTCAATTTAATGTATTTTTTAAAACATTGAAATGGAAAATAGTAAAATAACTCAATTGAAATGCAAATAAGAATTTGGCTTTAGTTCTCAGAGCACATAGAATCATATTTATTTTAAATTCATATTACACTGAGAAAACTATTACTTTCAAGACATTTCAAACAATTTGGCTATTCACTTCAGTGTGTCTCTTTGTAGTCCCACATATTCTCATTAAAGCCTGTTTCTCTCTTGAAACTGTTGGGAGATTTTAAACACTGTCCCAACACTGATTTGCAGCATGGAAAAGATTTATACTCTTGAGAATCTGGTCCTGAGGGCTTAAATATGTCTAAGAACTATTGATGAAAGTCAGGAACATGCACACAGGTGCACACACACACACACACACACACACACACACCTATCTTAGTATTCTGCTCATGATGAATCTATGTTTTTGTCTTCATTTGATTTTTTATTTTAAGTGAAGTTGGAAAAGTCAGTGTTACTTTAAGTTTGGCTTTCCTTCAAATCTTATTATAAAGTAGAAAGTGAATTTGTGTGATTATTTGATTTAATGTGTCTCTCTTTGCAATTAGCATTGATAGCCTTTTCTTTTGAAATTATCCCCAGGCACTAAATTTATCTCCTATATAAACTACTTATCTAACAAAGGTAATTTTATAGATATAAGATTACTACCTACCAAAAATAAATACATAAAAAGGGTACTGGAACACCCTTTCCCACTGTTTTCTTGTTACTCTGATACCCGGCTGTACTAAAACTGATTTGAGTGTGCAGTTGTACCGTTTTGAGCCACATAAAAACATAAATCTCATGATATTACCTCACTGTAGTCCACATAATGAGTTAACTAAATTCCCCATGTTACATTTTCTTTTTATTTATAAATATGTTATCTCCAAACAATAAATTAAGCTGAAACATAAAATAATTTCCCACCAATAAGGACTACAACTTACACATTATCCACTTATATAAATTATATAAAATTATCACACAACAAAACCAATTTAATGTTTGTGGTTTCCTTTTAGAATTTGTGAATATGAAAAACTGGCAATCAATTTTATTAACTGATAGCTGAAGAAAATCATGACTGAAAAATACTCTGAAAGTGATATGTTTGTTATTATATGTACCATTGTATTTTAAAATCATTTCCTTTCCAGATTGTAAATAATAATGAATTTCTATAGTGTAATGAAGTTTGATAGCACATAAAACTGCTGGAATCTATATGGTATACATTACTCTTTCCTTTTACCTAGAAGTATTTTTTATTGGTGAGATATATAAATATGAAGGTGAATTGTTCTTAGTCATATTTACTTCAAGATACTTCCTACCTAAGTATAAAGCTTGAATTGGAGATATTATTTATCTCTTTCATGTCACCTGGAGGAAATTCTCCAAACTGAACTAAATTAGATTTTAGGATACGTAGGGTATGTTCTAAGAATATGCATCCAGAATAATCATTCATTCAAAGGATCCAGTAAAAATGTATTATAAAATTCCTTTTCTTTGGAAAGCCATACAATGTATACTTATAGAAGTTCTGAAATAGGTTTTACTTTTTTTGGAGGTAATATTTTGAAACACATGTTTATTTTAACCATCCAAAAGCTTTTCATCAAGTGAAGCTTAACTGCTTTTTAGGGCAATAGTTTAGTTTTTGAATATAAGCCAGAATAAATTCAAGAGAGTAGCTGTTAGCTTCAGTTTTCCCTGGATGATTACATATAGGAAGATAAGGTTTGGTCCAGAGAAAAACCACTTTCTCTGAGGTCTGCAACTCCAACTTGGGAAGACAAAATATATCAGAGGGAATTCCTCTGACAGCATCACTGCAGCTTGGTTGCTATGGTTTTCCTTGTATCTAATTGAGCTAGATTACAAATAAAGTCAACTTAGCATGTACTATATGCACTCTGTGGACAGCAATGCTCTCAACCTCATAATCTGGTTAAACATAAAAACCGACTGTTTATGGCTATGGCGACAGTACATCATACTAATTCACTTTGCAATGTCTTCGTCTTCTTATGGAACTAACTGCCAAGACTGTACCAAGAGATCTTTGGGTTGCTATATTTTTAATTAGCAAGAAGACATGTCTATTTTGAATGGTATTTTTTGTGGACTGTAAAGTAATGAAATGGAAAACTAAGTATAATCACTGAATAGCAGATTCTTAATCTTAATCTATTTTATATCCATTATTCATTTTAAGTAAAACATTATAAGGAAAGTTTTTGAAATATAAATATAACATATTATTAGAAAGAATGAGATTCCTCATTTAATAGATGTTTATGTGGATGTCTAGTGATTTGTGGGGGCCAGGAGTGATAAAATTTACTTTTATTCATTGTCCTTTGAAGCCTTAAAGAAAAATATAATTAGGTTTTGCATCTGTTTTTAAATAAGGAGTTTTCAAAATCCCTTTCTGGCTCCTTGAAAACAGTAAGAATAAAACTGTGGGGAAGTAGACATTTTCCGACTTTATGAGACTATGGGGGAAAATCCTTTAAAAAGTGGCTCCTTTAATATTACTTTAAAAGGTAACAATGGGAAACTCTAACAGGCTATATGAAGCAAACTTTATTTTAGCTCAAAGATGAAAACAATTGCTTACTGTATCTATTCACAACACTGGAAATGTGATATTCTTAAAAGTCCATTTCTTAAATATATTACTAATAACAGATGAGATTCTTCTCTTTTCTTATTATTTTTAAGCTATTGTTTCATGCTAAAATAAAATACTATCATATGAATTCGGTATTAAATAATGCAGATGTAGGCATTCATCAAATGAACAGTCTTAGGAACCAGGCACTCTTCTGGACTCTGACAATATAGATGGGAACAAAACAGAAAAGAAATTTGCCCTCATGGCACTTATATTTAGGCAATACTGATATTTTCAAATATATATTACTACTGCGCTGTATATAATATTTAAACTTTAAATGGGAATATTCCTGCCCATTACTTCAAAACACTTTTGAGAAAACACTTATAAACAAAAATATATTTTTAATACTTAAAACTTTGGCTTTAAGACAGAGATATGTGAAAAAGCCCCACCAGTCTATTGACTATGATTTCAATTTATTATCTAATTCAATGTAATCTTTAAAAATTGAGGTAGAGCCTAATCCGCTTATGATATTGAATAGATACCAGGTACACTGTTTTTTGAGGTAGACAGTATCATCTATAACTACGGATGATTCACAGTGTTAATTGTGATGTCCCACTTAGCAAATTAACTTTGAAGTCTTTGCATCAGGAATCCAAATTTAGGAGGCAACATATAGAAGAGCAAAAAACAAAAGGTCTTTTTGTTAAATCATGAGTGAGGAACTTCATGCTATTTCTACACCCTAATATGTGCAAAGCTCTCAAATTATTAATTAAAAAAAGAAAAGCACAGACTAAACTATTTACCCAATGTTCACAGCTTGGAACTCAAATAGAAAATGAACTAAATATCGCTTCTGAAAAACTCTATAGAGACCTTGTTCATATGCCTTAAAGCAGAGAAGAGGCAAAAGCATTTCCTTACATTCATTCTTTCAGAGGGGAGAATAGGTCTGCCTGTCACTCCTCTTTAATTCCTACTGGCCCCGCTGAGTAATTCCTCAAAGCGCCCCTGCTATGAAGCTGCCGAACTATGTTCTCCTTTTACCCTGGAGAAAAACCAAAAGTATCAAAGCCATATGAAACCATCACAGATCATAGAGACCTTACTTCCTCATTTTGTAAGTGCCCTTTAAAAGTCAGAAAAGATGCTGGAAGTCAATGCTGAGCTTAAATTCAAGCCTTCCTATGTATATCCATCTGAAATCTCCGAGGAAATTTTATCTCAGATGTAAAATATTATTGGAGAGAACCTACAGGAGTATTCTTTTGTTCCTTTAGATACAACTCGCTTAAAGTATTGATGGCATAATGTAATTTGTTTGGCATCAACAGGAAGTCAATCAAATGTTACATATACAAGTTTTAAAAAATCCTATGCTTTATCCCATTAAAGACTGAGAATTTTCCTTTATATATGCCACTTAACATACATATTTCTAGAATCTAGTATGCACTTCTCTCATTCCTTATGTGGAAATGTATAATTTAATATATTTTCTTTTGATTTAGGTCCATCATTACAAATTTTGATTATTGTATCCAATTTTAATCTGTGAGATAAGAAGTCAGTTTTCATTCCAACTAAAAATATATTATTTTGAACAAGTTTTTTTTTAACCTTAGTGAAAATTAAAGTTTGTTCCTTCTTTCCTACACTTTACTGCTTTTCTTACTACTTTGGTTAGAACCAACTTTAGGGTTTTAAACAAAGTGGCAATAGTAAGCATTTTGCTTTTCTCAATTGTTAGAAGAATGCTTCTAAATTTCTCCATCAGGAATGGTATTTGCTGTAGTTTTCTGGCAGGCACATTTAATTAGACCACCTAATTTAACTGATCTGCTTATAGGAATGGAGTGGGGAGGCATCAAAATTGCTTAAAAACTCCTCTGAAAAATCTTTTATGCAGACAGATTTGTGAATCATCATGTTAGAGCCATAAGGGCTGTAGAAGTTAAAGCTGGCTCTCATCTCCATAGGAGTTTTGATTAGCAAGTTAGCGACTTTAACTCTGAGACTTAAGGAAGCCAAGGAAATCGTAGTTCAGGGAAATATTCACAGTGCACATTTTATTTTAGCTGTAGTTGATGATGATAATGATGGGTGTAGTATGCAAGGTATTTCATAAGGGATCTGGGTGTAAAAATATTGAATCAGGATTTTAATTTGTTCTAAACATACATAGATCTACTTCACACATTTAACTTTAGTGAGGTAGTGATCACAGTGTAGATAGGGAAGAACTGAAACTTTAGCCGAATCTCTAATTTTTTTTCTTTTACTTTTAATGAGATTTGAAGCTAATATGGAAAAATGTTAACATTAAGGAATCATGATGATCACAGTTATCTGCAAACTTTTCTCCAAGACATTATAATATTCACTACTAACATTCTATAGCTATAAAATTAAGATCAATATGTTAATATTTGTTAATGGATTTATAGAAATATATGTTAGTTTTCATGTTGGTTATATATAATAATGTAGGAATGTGAATTTCATTATGAACTATATCTTATACTAAAATATTAATATATTTAATATACATTAAATATTTTACCTTAAGAAAATAAACCAATATTCAGTTTTAGGGCTTTTAAGAAAGATTTTTATTATCATTTTATATTAAGAATGCCTGCTTCTCTACTCCAATAACATCATTTTATTACAATAAATGTGTTATTATTGTCTGATTTCAAGTTTATTGAATAATGAATGTCTTTAAGAACCAGATAGCTCTTAGTTTGAATAAAATCTTTCTAATTTCTAAGTATCATTTAAAAAGTCAGTTAAACTGGGTAAGCTTCAGCTCCCTCATGTGTAAGCTTGAGTTAGTAATATTTACCAGAAACTTTTGTAAAAATATGTTTGAGATATTACAAGTAAAATGCCTAGAGCATACATAAAATATACATTGAGAAAATGATGAATTATTACTACTATCTCTAAGGAATGCCAACATTATACCTAAATAAAGACTAAACACACACACATACAAGCACACACACACATACAAGCACACACACACACACACACACAAACAGCACGTGGTCTGCTCTTTACGTTGTATTCTAACATACGTAAAGTTGTTTAAACTAGCTACATTTGAATCTAAAGTTTTCAATCACAAACCCACTTATTGCAATTGTCAAATGTTAACATTTTTTAATTTTACTTTTCATAATCATCATTTGGTGTTTTGATGCTAGGATGTAGTTTTATAATCAAAGCAGTATTTATATTAATTCCAAATAAAATAATAATTCGGCGAAGCATTATAAATAAATAATTTCAACCAAACACTGCATGATCTCACATATAAGTGAGAGCTGAACTATGAGACACATAGACACTTGGAGGGGAACAATACACACTGGTGCCTGCTGAGTGGGGTAGGGGGAGGGAGAGCATCAAGGAGAATATCTAATGGATGCTGGGCTTAATACCTGGGTGATGGGTTAATCTGTGCAGCATACCACCATGGCACACATTTACCTATGTAACAAACCTGCACATCCTGCACATGTGTCCCAGAACTTAAAAATTAAAGAAAAAATATAAATAAATACATAATTTCATCTATGCTCACAGCATGGCTATGATGTAAGTGCCATTATCATATCCATTTTAGAGAAGAATACAAAAAAAAAGAGAAAGTTTGAATATTTTCATAACTGTGGTTTCAAAGTCTCGAAGATCTCTTGAATCTCCTCAAAGTCGAAACAATGGAATGAGGCTTCTAGGGTAAATAGAAATGGAGGACAGTTCTAGGCTGATTAACTCGTATACACTCTGGCTGTCTTCTTGTGGAATATCTGCATATTTGTATTTGTAAATAACAACAGGAAAAAGTACTATGTACACATGACAAGGAAACAAAGTATTTCTAGATAGTAAACACATTGTAAATAATTTTCCCTAAAGTTGCTTGATTGCTAGATCTTTAAGAGAGAACTTCTGGCGGGGTGCAGTGGCTCATGCCTGTAATCCCAGCACTTTGGGAGGGCGAGGCAGGTGGATCACCTGAGGTCAGGAGTTTGAGACCAGCCTGGACAACATGGCGAAACCCCGTCTCTACTAAAAACACAAAAATTAGCTAGTCATGATGGCACATGCCTGTAATCCCAGCTACGAGGGGGACTGAGGAAGGAGGATGGCTTCAACCTGGGAGGCAGAGGTTGCAGTGAGCCGAGATCATGCCACTGCACTCCAGCCTAGGCAACAGAGCGAGACTCCACTTCAACAAAAAAAAAAAAAAAAAAAAAAAAAAAAAAAAAAAAAAAGAGAGAGAGAGAGAAAGAGAATAAGAGAATTTCTAAATCTTATTTCATTGTTTTATCTCTCACAGAACAAATAAATGCTGTCAATATGCTCTGCTTCTTATATAATGCTTAGAAAATTGTTAGTATAATTCACAGGAAACTATTAATATTGAATGCCATTGAGGAAGGGCTGGTAATGGAAGGGATATAAACTATATAAACTGTTTTGGCTATTGGGCAAAATACAGATGCCCTCTTCAATACTTCTCTCCCAAACTAAGTGATTGAATTTTTAAAATATTTATATTTTACTCAAACTAGTTTGTATGTGCATATATGCTCATATAATTAATAAGTACTAATATGTTATTTGTTTCTTTTAGATATTCACTCTTTAATAGTGCAAGACATTGTATTATTGAAAATTTCAATGATACATTTACCTCAGGGAAATAATTCATCAGAGAGGTTTTCTTTAGCAAGTAAATTGGTTAAAAATAACATGCATCATATCCATGGTCCAATACCACAGAACTTGTATTTTTCATTTGTATTGTGAAAATTAGATAATTGTCATTTTATTCTGTAGGTAGCTATTTTCATTAGGTGGTAAAATATTTGGGGGAAAAAGTATACTGTGAAGATATTGTGTGTAGGGTTCCAGACCAAATAAAGTCAATATTGCAATAAAGAGGTTACGCACAATTTTCCCCAGTGCATATAAAAATTATGCTTATACTAAAATTTAGTCTATTAACTGTGTCACAACATATATCTAGAAAGCTTCTTTAATTTAGAAAATACCTTATAGTTAAAAATGTTAATGATCATCTGAGACTTCAGCGATTTGTAATCTTTTTGTCATTGGAAGGTATTACCTTGATGTTGATGGCTGCCCACTGATGAGTGTAGTTGCTAAAAGCTGGGGTGACTGTGGTAATTTCATATATTCAAGGGAAAATAAAGTTTCCTGCATTGATTGATTCTTCCTTTCAAAAAATATTTCTTGGTAGCATGCAATGCTGTTTGATAGCATTTTAACCAAAACAGGACTTCTTTCAAAATTAGTCAATCCTCTCAAACTCTGCTATTGCTTTATCAACTAAATACATGTAATATTCTCAATCCTTTCTTATAATTTTAAAGATGTTCACAGCACCTTCACCAAGAGTATTTTCCATCTCAGGAAACTACTTTCTTTGTTCATCCATTAGAAGCAACTCGTCATCTGTTCAAGTTTTATATAAGATGGCAGCAATTAAGTCACCTCTTCGAGCTCTGCTTCTAATTCTAGTTCCCTTGCTATTTCTACCACATCTGCAGTTACTTCCTCCATTGACGTTTTGAACTGTTCAATGTCATTCATGAAGTTGGAATCAAGTTCTTCCTAATTCCAGTTGGTGTTGACATTTTGACCTCTTCCCATAAATCATGAATGTTCTTAATGGCATCTAGAATGGTGATTCCAGAAGGTTTTCAACGTACTTTGCCCGGATTCCTTGTAAGAATCACTATCTATGGCAGCTATGGTCTGATAAAATGTATTTTTTAGTAATAAATCTTGAACACCGACATTACTCCTTGATTTATGGGCTGCAGAATGGATATTGCATTGGCATTCATGAAAATAACATTTCCTTCTTTGTACATCCACATCAGAGGTCTTGAGTTACTAGGAACATTGTGAGTAAGCAGGAATATTAAAAATTTTTTTTTCTGTGAAGTAGATCTCAATAGTGGGCTGAAAGTATTCAGTAAACCATGCTGTGGAAGGATGTGTTGTCATCCAGGCTTCATTGTTATGTTTATAGAGCACAGGCAGAGTAGATTTAACCAGTTTTTAAGGGCCCTAGGATTTTCTGAATGGTAAGTGAACACTGGCTTCAACTTAAAGTCACAAGCTATATTAGCTTCTAACAAGGGAGTTAGCCTATTTTTTGAAGGTTTGAAGTCAAGCATTGACTTCTCCTCTTATCTATAAGTCCTAGATGATAATTTCTTTCAATGGAAGGTTCTTTCATCTACATTGAAAATTTGTTTAGTGTATCTACCTTCATCAATTATCTTAGCTAGATTTTTCTGGATAACCTGCTGCAGCTCCACATCAGCACTTGCTGCTTCACCTTGCACTTTCATGTTATGAACATGGTTTCTTTCTTTAAGCCGCAAGAACTAACCCCTACTAGCTTCAACCTTTTCTTCTGCAGCTTCCTTACCTCTTTCAGTTTTTATGGAATTGAAGAGAATTAGGGCTTTTATTCTGGATGAGGCTTTGACTTAAAGGAATGTTGCACCTGGTTTGATCTTCCATCCAGATCTTTCAAACTTCTTCCATATCAGCAATATGACTGTTTCACTTTCTTATAATTTATGTGTTTACTAGAGTAACACTTTGAATTTCCTTTAAGAACTTCTTTAGTATTTACAGGTTAGCTAACTATTTGACACAAGAGACCTAGATTTTGTCCTATTTTGTCTTTAAATATGTATTCTTCACTAAGCTTAGTTATTTCTAGGTTTGAAATTAAAGTGAGATACTTGAATGCTTGGGGGTCACTGTAAGGTAATTAACTGGCCCAGTCTCAATATTATTATGTCTCAGTAAATGGGGAAGAAGAGAGAAGGAGGAACAGCCAGTCCCTGGAGCAGTGAGAACATACACAATATTTATCAATTAAGTTTACTGTCTTATATGGATATGGTTTGCGATGCCCCCAAAACAATTACAATAGTAACATCAAAGATCAGTGATCACAGATAACCATAACACATGTAATCACAATGATCAAAGTTTGAAATATTGTGAGAACTACCACAGTGTGACACAATGACATGAAATGAGCACGTGCTGTTCGAAAAATAGCACTGATAGAGTTGCTCACACGGGGTTGCCACAAACCTTCAATTTGTAAAAAATGAAAATCTGTGAACCACAATAAAATGAAGCGTGCTTGTATATAGGCTGTAAACCAGCCTTTTAATCAATTTGCTATTTGCAAATCTAACTACAATATAAAATCAAGCATATATCTGGGAATTTCTAAGCCTCCTCCAATAAACAATGAGATTTCTCATGGCTGTGATTTCATTAGGACAATAAAACATGTATCATATGAATAAATTAAAGTGTAAAACATTACTTGATAAGGGGCTAGGGTTGTAAATGATTTGTTTAAGTAATAAAAATACATTTAAAATTTAAGATGATCATGATTTCTATTATATAATGATTTTATCTCCTAAAATAATTTACTTGGCATTCTATATCTTCTATAAAATTTTCAGTAACATTTTCTTTTTTTAGTGTTTTTTTCTCAAGTCATTTTATTTAAAGAAAACTGTTAACTCTGATGGTAGTTTCTTTCGCTGTGCAGAAGCTCTTTAGTTTAATTAGACCCCATTTGTCAATTTTGGCTTTTGTTGCCATTGCTTTTGGTGTTTTAGACATGAAGTCCTTGCCCACGCCTATGTCCTGAATGGTAATGCCTAGGTATAAATCATGCTGCTATAAAGACACATGCACACGTATGTTTATTGCAGCATTATTCACAATAGCAAAGACTTGGAACCAACCCAAATGTCCAACAATGATAGACTGGATTAAGAAAATGTGGCACATATACACCATGGAATACTATGCAGCCATAAAAAATGATGAGTTCATGCCCTTTGTAGGGACATGGATGAAATTGGAAATCATCATTCTCAGTAAACTATCGCAAGAACAAAAAACCAAACACCGCATATTCTCACTCATAGGTGGGAATTGAACAATGAGAACACATGGACACAGGAAGGGGAACATCACACTCTGGGGACTGTTGTGGGGTTGGGGGAGGGGGGAGGTATAGCATTGGGAGATATACCTAATGCTAGATGACGAGTTAGTGGGTGCAGCGCACCAGTATGGCACATGTATACATATGTAACTAACCTGCACATTGTGCACATGTACCCTAAAACTTAAAGTATAATAATAATAATAAATAAATAAATAAATAAAAGAAAAAAAAGAAAACTGAAAGTAATGGTATTTTAATTTATTCATTACTATACAGTTTCAAAATCTATTTATTGCCTGAAATGAACAGATGACCACTCAGCTAATAGGCAGAATGCCCACTTGATTAAATTATTATTTTTCTTATATCAGTAGAGCCAACATATATATATACACACACACACAACACACACACACACGTATATGTATACACATACATACATATATACATACACATATATTATATATATATATATATATATAAAATACAGCAGTTTCTTCAGATTTTTTATCACAAAACTATCACCTCAAGGTAATTTGGAGAGAACATACGGGAAGATTACACACCTTGTAGAAGCAACTAGAGCCAACATATATATATATACACACACACACATACGTATATGTATACACATACATATATCTATACATACACGTATATACATTATATATATACATACACGTATATATATTATATATATATAAAATACAGCAGTTTCTTTAGATTTTTTATCACAAAACTATCAGCTCAAGGTAATTTGCGGAGGACATATGGGAAGATTATCCACTTTGTAGAAGCTACTTAACCCAATCACATTTAGTCCTTTTAACAATTTACCCAACTATATTTCACAAGGTAATCCTTATTTAGGTAGACTTCATCGATTGGTTTTCCCCATTATAAGCTGACAAATACTGTGACCTTGTTAGGGATAATATACCTATACCATAATTTTAGACACTACTAAAATGTCTGAAGTGAGAACCTACGATATATAAAAAACATATCCCCTTTTTAGAAAGTGTATCAATTCATTTCAGAGTTTGCAGCACTTATAACACCAAAAAGGTCAAATTTACTATTTGTTTGAGACATAACTGCCCAGAAAATTGGTGTAACTTATGGAATTCGTCACCTGTAGAAAATTGTTTCGTTTTTTTTCCTGGATGGTTGGTAGCTTTTACAATTTGTAGAGGGGTCTTAGAACATTTTCAAAGTGACAAGTATGTCCTTTGAGACCTTGGTTTGGTGCCTCAACACTGTGACCTCTGCTTGCCTAGGAATGAATGGTAAATTGTTTCTCTTTCATGCAGTTTTTTTGAAATGAGATGTCAAAGATTATGTTTTATAGACTGTATTTCTTTGGTACATCTGGCCTATCAGAGATTGATTACTTGCTCCTGCGATTGTTCTTTAATCCTGATAGCTACAGACACTTCGTGGCTCCCAGTGACAAAAATCTCATAATCTAAGTATATCGAGCATGATGCAAGGCTGTTGATGAGGAAATCATGGTTTGTACCCTCTTTACCATAAAGCCAAAAATGATGACCATTAAAGGTTTTCAGGAAGTTATTTGTAGTAAAATAATCAATGATGAGTCAAAGCATCACTATCGGTCAGAAATAATCCTGAGCAAATATATGGAGAGGTATTGAAAGATAATCTTTCACTATGCCAAAACATTCCATATAAAAATGTATCAGTATTCCTAAATAATTTATTATTTGGTAGGTTTATTATTTTAAGTAGATATATATTGGCTTAAAGTACATGAAATACATACCTAGGTTTTATTTGAAAATTTTGCTTTTGACCTTTATTTTCAGAATGTTTCTATGCAGCTATTCAGCTCTAGTATTTTCTGAGATAAATTAAATAGGTGACTAGGTCTCTTTTTCATTTATAACTAAAAGAAATAAATGAACACCTCAGGCATTCACTTTTTTGCCATATGAAGCAAACATTTATAATTTATCTTTTTTCTCCTTATTTATTAAAAATAATAAATACATATATACATATTTCAGGTGAAGAGTAAAGTTATGTGAAAAGAGCAACTTCTAAAATAGATAAAGGACTTAAAGACACTTTATTTCAAACCTTCTTAAATATAACCACTTGTTTTTATTATATTTCACTGGATTGAGTTTACTAGGGCTCAGATTTTTAATAGTTATGCCTGACACACAGCTGCTCCACACCTTGTTTAATCTTATTTATGGGGACAAAATAAATTATCATCTCATCCTTTTTATCTGGAAAGTATTACACTCACAGTAGTTTATTTATAATTAACTTACGTTCTATAGAGATCCTCTCAGGGAAAAATATTCATGGATGTATGTGAGTTGGAGTAGAATGTATTGGGGTAGTTTGTAATCATGATAGGCTTAACTGTTTAATCTTTCTAAGGATGACAATATTTAGTAAAAATTATGAACAAAAATAATTTATGAGCCTGGGTCCCACTGATTAGTGTAATGTTGATTTTTTATTAAAAATCAACCTAACCTAATAGATTGATTAATAATCAATCTATTAAAAATAAACCTAAACATATGTATCTAAACCTAAACATATGGAATATGACTTTTGTATGGAATTTTCCCATTTGTGAACTTTACTCTTTTAGAGATGTAGTCTCAGGCAGACTAGAGTTCTATTAAAATTTATCATATTCTCCATAAGATTCCATTCTTTTTGGGATGTTAAGCTGGTAACGTGAGTTACAGTGTTTTTTTTTTTTCCTCTCAGACTTCGTCTGTACTAGACCACATTTTTTTTTCAAGTAGCTTATTTCTGAGACTTGGAATACATAATATATGAGAACCTCATTATCTACAGTCTCATATATATACAAATATTCTGTGACACATCTTGGGGTTGTCTTGTCTGAGAGTTCCAGAGTATTCAGAAATAGCAGTTTTTTCCTTATTGTCAGGCAGAGACCTTGGTCATATAGCCTTTGATAAATCTGTTCAGATCAAGTAGTGGTTCTCAATCTTGTCTGCACATTAGATTTAATTCAGGAATCCCTATGCTCTGTGAATGCAACCAAAAATTACAATGTAGTTGGTGACAGATGTGGATTTTTAAAGTTCCACACAGAATTCTAATGCAGCACTGGTTGAGAGTCATCCTTAAAATAGCACTTCAGAAGCTAGAGCAGATCCTGAGATTGCCCGGGGGCTATAAGTAAAAACCTGAGTTCAAAGGGCTTATTTTCAAAATTATACTTTAGCTAAGTTACTACGTAGATAACAGTTTGAGGGGCTTTTCTTTTTGTCCTTACATCCTAGTTGAGTGGATAGGAGATACCAGCGAGAGAATGGGATGTTAGATATTTTTCCGTGGATTTTTTTTTTATTTTTTTATTTTTTTATTTTTTTGAGAGGGAGTCTCTCTCTGTCGCCCAGGCTAGAGTGCAGTGGTGCGATCTCGGCTCACTGCAAGCTCCGCCTCCCGGGTTCACGCCATTCTTCTGCCTCAGCCTCCGGAGTAGCTGGGACTACAGGCGCCCGCCACCACGCCCGGCTAATTTTTTTGTATTTTTAGTAGAGACGGGTTTTCACCGTGTTAGCCAGGATGGGCTCGATCTCCTGACCTCGTGATCCGCCCACCTCGGCCTCCTGAAGTGCTAGGATTACAGGCGTGAGCCACCGCGCCCGGTCTTTTTATGTGGAATTTTGATCCAAGTACTTGCAAACTAACTCAGTGACTTTAGGTGTTTATATTCTCAAATAAGTATCAAGAACACTAAAACAAAACTATCAGACTCTTGCTGCTCCCTATTTATATGGCCAGTGTTTCTCAAAATGTAACTCCCAGGCCACCTGCAACAGCATTACATGAGGGACCTGTTAAAATCTCAGATTTCTCACCCAATAAATCATAATCTCATGAGCATGGTAGCTGAATAATCTTCCTTTAATACAAAATTTCCAATTGATTACTAGGCATGTTAACAACTACTTGTGTCAGCCAGAGCTCTGATGGTCACTGAAGAGCTCTTTCTGATTTTCCTTAGATCTTCTTGCCTGTTTGACAACTTAATGGAAATCAACTATTTGCAAGACAGTGTGCTCATGAAATAGACAAACAGGTCAGGAAAATATAAGTCTCTTGACTTCATTGGTGGCGAGTTACTGCACAGGGGAAAAACAGTTTAAAAAGTTGTTTTTCACTTACCTTCCAAGCCCATTCATAAGTGATATTTTATGTCAGTTCCAATTTTCAAGCGGATGGAGTATTGCTAGGGAATTGTAGACATCTAGGCATTGCTGGCTGTTGGCTTGACCCCATGTGAAAATGTGTCAGTATTTAAAGCAGTGTGCTTATGTGAGATGTGCTAGTGGTTCTGTGAAGGGGGAGAAAGATCAAATGCTTGTTTTATAAGTGTCACCTTGAACTTTGGGATCACTCTTGTAGAGTCATTATCTTTTGAATACATATATAGAGCTCTTATAATATGCCAGGCACTGTGACATTTATTTATGTCCATTATCTTATTTCTTCTTGCTAAAATCATATGAAGAAAATACAATTCTTATTCTCATTTTACATGAGGAAATTAAGATTTGAATTGGATAAACAACTTGCTCCAAGAGAAAGTACTAAGTGGTGGTTCTGAGATATAAGCCTACTTTTTAAATTTCAGAGTGTTAACCCCTATTCTCTACATACACTGTGTACTCTTTAATATATAATGACTCACAATACTTATTATTATTAACAAATATTACTTTTCCAGGGCTGCTGTAATGACCAAGTAGCTTTAAACTACAGAAATTTATTCCCTTATTTATCTGGAGGCTAGAAGTTTGAAATCATAATGTTGGCAAAGCTGTGCTGAACTCTGAAGCCTCTAGGATAAGGTCCTTCTTAGTTTCTTCCAGATACTTGTGGTATGGTAGCTATCTTTGGCATTCTTTGGCTTGTAGCTGCATAACTCCAATCCCTGCCTTCTTTGTCACATGGCATTCCCCTGTGTCTCTGTGTCAAATTTTCCCTCTTATTATAAGAACCTCAGTCATTGGTGTGGTTTCACATGAATCCACTATTCAACTCAGTAGAGCATTCATAAATGCCTTGTGGAAACTCTGAAGCCACCCAACAACACACTTTGAGGTTATCTTGGTGAGTGGGCTTTCATTTCTTCGATTCACCCTTAGCTTCAATTTAATGTTTCCACTAAAATATTACTATTTTATTCCATGCTATGGCTTCTGTGATTTGTGTAACCTTTTGGAGAGGAAGGGAGTTGGGAACACTCACCATACATTAGCATGTTTGTCTTCTTTTGTATCTTATATGTCCACCAAGACAACAGACTTCTGCATGGCAGACTTTTGCTAATGATCATGATTAGTAGTACAGATAATAACATTGATTGCTACATAGCTGTTTCCAAAATCTAAGTTTAAGTTCTTTCTACTAATCTATATTGACTCTGTGATACACTGATGGTGATCAAAATATAAAGAACAGTTTTGCTGAGTAGAGGTTTGGAGAAGAGTGGCATGTTTGCTGTACAAAGAAGAGAAGTAGCCTGATTTGAAATTTTGAATGGTGAACAGAGAGATGGTGTGGTAAAAATGGGATGAAAATGGGATTAAAGGTGGTCAAAGATGTGGAATGTGATCTGATGAAGCACCTAGAGTTTTAACTTTCTCAGGAGTGAAAAGGTCACAGGCCATCTGTAGGAGAGGATAGCTGTGAGGGTGAGGGAGGAGGAAGAGAAGAAGGAAGCCATTCAAGGAATGTGGAATGAGGTAATTTCTCCAAACATGCTACTTACTCAACAAAAAGTAGTCTAGGTGTCTTAGAGAAGGTGCTTATGCGTAGTCATCAACAACTGATGTCTGCAGATAGACCACAGATGCCATATAGACAGGTATAATTCAAAAGCATACAATAGAATAATCTACATCTATAATTTGGGATACATGAGCTTTGTGGAACATGGATGAAGACAGCCATTTGCGGTGTGTGTCATACTATTTTTTGTTTGTTTCAATTTCACTTTATTAATATTTGCTATAACCGTTTCCCCCTCAGCTTTATTAAGATATAATTGACAAATAAAATTTGTATATACTTACATTGTATAACTTGATGTTTTTATATAAGTGTACATTGTGAAATAATTAAGACAAGCTAATTAACACACATATCACCTCATATACATATTTTTGTATGTGTGGTGAGAACATTAAAGGTCTATTTTTCTTAGCAATTTTCAGGTATACAAGAATTATTATTAATTATAGTTAGTCACTATGCTGTGCAGTAGATCTTCAGTTACCTGTCTAACTCAAACTTTGGAACCTCCATCACACTGCTGAGCTAGAGGACAAAGTATTGGACTAGGTATTTGTATATAGATATTGGAGGGCCAACTTCAGAAATAAACTCGATGTTTTGGTACCTTGTTTTTCAGTCTAGTATGTTTGGTCAAGAAGGAGTAGAAAGAGTGAATTAATTGCAATATTGTAATATATAAAAATATCTGGCATAATATTATTAAAGACCATGACATTTATCCTTATTAGTTAGAGGGTATGTGCAAGAACCCATATCTTCTTGAAAATAAAAGATTTGAAGTTAAATTCTAACTCCCCTTGCCACGTCCTATGTATATATGTGCAATGTCATTGTAAAAAATAATGAGTGTCTCTATTAGATAATGTCAAATAAGAATGATGTTGATAATGTCAAGATAATGTAAAATAATGTGAAATATAGAACAGAAAAATGTGAAATGCCTAGAATTAGGATGCATTTATTGCAACAATTTTTACCCAGTAAACATCAAATAGCAATTTGATTCAATGGTTTAAAGAAAGCCAAAAGTAAATAATCACCAACAGAACAACAAACATAGGGTCCACTAGTATTTGGAGAGATCACAGTTCAAACTTTCCAGGTGCTGAATCCCAATGCACAACACTATACCACGGAAGCTCTGAAAGCACACTGTTTATTCTCATTCCCAAACCACACTGCAATCAAAATTAGCTGCCTGATATTCCCCCAGCCCAGTCTTCTGCCTATTGTAGTAATACCAAGGAAATATTGGTGGGTAGCCGCAGTTGTTATTTGATGCTATGTTATATCCCACAATTCATTTTTGATAAGCAGAAAGTCTAAACTTTAAACATCTCACAATTACTTAAATAAGTGTTTATTTTCATCTTTCCCCAAAGAAAAAGCAAAATGACACTGTGTTCATTTCTCATCAAACAAGAAATATTCCTAAGAGACCTTTTCCTTGTTCAGTGCAAGCTCTAATAAAATTTGACAGCAAAGAATGTTTTTCTCTGTGTAAATATTTGACAGTAAGTAGATATCTGTTACAGATGCCAAGTTGTTAATTTCATACCACCAACCTACTGTCTATCTTTGCATTTTTTATTCTATTTAGAGGTTAAAGGGATGTAACATAACTTTTCTGTCTTATAAGGAAAGAGAAAAACTGCTTATACATCTGGATGCCATTCAGTGTTCTTCATTCAAATAATTTTAAAAAGAAAAGAAATTAATAACTATTAAATAAAAATTCTGGATTTTGACAAAATTGAGAACTCATGAGACATTTTAATCCTAGGATGAGTATTCTGAAAGTATTCCTGTATCATTGATAATTAGAAAACAATTGCTATCTTTGATTTTTTACTTCATTCTTGTGCTAACAACAAGGTGCTTATAGCCGTTCTAAAGAATTGTCTGCAAACATGACAAAATCCAAGGAAAAAGAGACATCTTGTCTTTCCCACCACTCTCTGTCTGTTCCAGATGCCTACAGTAGACTTCTCACAAATCATTCTCCAAAAATGGGCCATATTTACAATCCTGAACTGTTCATTAGCAAAAGGGTTAGACTTTTAATAGTTGGCATAAATTAAATTTACTGTGGTAACAATGGGTGTTAGGATGAAAAAAAGCAATACCTTCAATAATAACATTCCTTTGAATTAAAGTTCTAATTTAACGCATGAACTAAACTATTCAAAACTATTCCTGGAACATCATCAGTACTGAGTGCATAGCTGAAGTAGACTATGATCACTCAAACATTTTTCCAGGTCTAATTCCATGTTTTATTGACTTACTTTTTTAAAGAAAAGTTTCTCATCTATCAAAGTCCTCACAAAAATCTTGATCATATTCACTTTGTACTACTCTAGTTTCTAATTCACTGTCTTCCAATTTCAAACCTTGTTTCATTAGAGATATATATTATTGTTCTGCCCAAATTCTTTATCCTTGATCACTGAAGTATACATGAGATTATTCCTAATTGATTATTTCAGAATAACTCTGAATTTTCTTCTCCCCTTAAGCTAAGTTCTCCAAACATTACATCATTAGATTGACTTTACTTTGTGTTCTGTTTTTTTTTCTAATTTAACATTTATTGTTCTCTCATATGCTATCCACATTAACATGTTATTTTCCTTTGTCTAGCTTTGATTTTTGTCTTAGTCTAAATGATCACATTGTGATATGGTTTGGCTCTGCACCGCATCCAAATTTCATCTTGAATTGTAATCCCCACCTGTTGAGGAAGTGATCTGGTGGCAGGTGATTGGATCCCGGGGGTGGTTTTCCCCATGCTGTTCTGCTGATAGTGAGGGAGTTTATTAAGAATACTTAACTCATATGATTAAAAAGCAAAGTCTCACAATAGGCCATCTGCAAGCTGAGGAGCAAGGAAGCTAGTAGTGGCTCAGTCTGAGTTCCAAATCCTCAAAAGTACAAAAGCTGTCAGCACAGCCTTCAGTGTGTGGTCAAAGTCTTGAGCGTCCCCCACAAGCCACTGATGTAAGTCCAAGACTCCAAAGACCAGAGAGTCTGATGTTAAAGTGTAACCAGCATCCAGCACAAGAGAAAGATGACAGCCAGAAGACTCAGCAAGCCAGCTTATCACACCTTCTTCTGCCTGCTTTGTTCTAGCCACACTGGCAGCTGATTGGATGGTGCCTACCCAGAGTGAGGCTAGGTCTTCCTCTCCCACTTTACTGACTCAAGTGTTAATCTCCTATGGCAACACCCTCGCAGACATACCCAGAAACAATACTTTACCAGCTATCTAGGTATCCTTCAATCCAATCAAGTTGATACATAATATTAACCATCACACATTCAGAGATATTTAATAATGTCTATCATGAAACACAGCCTCTATGATGGCTGCCTATGATCTCTATGTTCTGGTATTCACATCCTTCTTTAATTACCTCTCTTTGGATATGAGCTAAACTTATTGAATTGATTCTAAAAAAATGTATTTGAAATAATGGGGTGTTCCTTCTGATATTTGTTTATAAAAGAACCGTGGCATATGTTTTGGTCTCTGTCTCTCTTGCTTTTTCTCAGATTGCTCTAGGGGAAGCCAGCTGGCATGGGAAGTAGTGCAGTGGAGAAATGCACATGGCCAGAGACTAAGACCAATCATTTGAATGAGTTTGGAAGCATCCTACCCACCACTGCCACCAGTCAAGTCTTCAGATGAGACTGCAGCCATAGCCAACAGCTTGACTGCAACCTCCCAAAAACCTTGATGCAGATTCACACAACATTGGACTTCTGACCCATAGACAATATTATATAATAAATGTTTGTCTTTGCCACTAAGTTTCAGGATAATTTGTTATATAACAATAAACCGTACATCTATCCTTGATATAAGTTTCCCTGTATTTTTCTGTAGCATCTCCATATTTTAGCCCATTTATTTTATTTTGCTTTATTGAAAATAAAGCATACCATATTATGGTATTCAACAATCTTATATATGACTTTTTTATGAATATAATTTATGAAACATAATGAAAAAAGAGGTCAACCAATTTAGACTTTTTCTCTTAATTGTCTCTTCTCTACTTTATCCTGCTTTCCACTTCACGCTCTTTGCTGTCACCTATATCTGCTCTTATTATTATGGTCACTGATTCTGTGGAATATCAGGCTTTTCTTTCTGATGTGTTTACACCATATATGCCAAAGATGTCAAGTGTATGAAAATATCACAGATAAGCCATTTATATATGGCCAAATATCCTCTGTTATATTAAGAAATTTATAAAACCTTCATTTTTTAGATTTTCTGGGAGCTACCAACTCCTTTGAAAATTTATCTGTAGATTTGCACTGATCTACATGGCATGATGGATTTTTAAAGGGACTTTTTCAAGAAGAGCTTTAAATATGATCAGTTATTTAACAGAATAAGTCCAATTAGGCAAGTATTCAAACATTACTGCTACATTTTTGATATAATTAAACTTACTATAGCTAAGGAATTATCACTTGAAACTTAGTTACATCCTGCAATCCAGTCTCCCTAAACAACTTCACTGCTTTCCTTATGACTGGCGGTTCCACTGGAGGTTTAATATCAACTTTAACCCTGACTCTGACATAGCCCATCAAAAATAATGAAGTTTGACAAATAAAGCTTTAAATTTTCCTTTTCTTCTCCCACAGTATTTGCATTTCCAACACTTGGATCATTTCTAAACATAAACAGCAGCTATTATCTCTTCTGGCTCTTATTTTACAATTAAGAAAAATTAATGGCTTACTTGCAAGTTTTGTAGAACAACATTCAGTCAAATATATATATTATTTTGAGACGGAGTCTCGCTCTGGCACCCAGGCTGGAGCGCAGTGGCACGATCTCGGCTCGCTGCAAGCTCCGCCTCCTGGGTTCACGCCATTCTCCTGCCTCAGCCTCCCGAGTAGATGGGACTACAGGGACCCGCCACCATGCCCGGCTAATTTTTTGTATTTTTAGTAGAGACGGGGTTTCACCTTGTTAGCCAGGATGGTCTCGATCTCCTGACCTTGTGATCTGCCCGCCTTGGTCTCCCAAAGTGCTGGGATTACAGGCGTGAGCCACCGTGCCCTGCCTCAGTCAAATATATTTTTATAGAATAAATCTTAAAAATTAGAGCCCTCTTTCAAAGCTAGCTGTTAATCATTTATAGGAAAATGCTACCATCGTAAAATTAATCATAGAACATCATTATAACTTAAACTATCTATAAAAGGTTAAAACAGGATAACACATTTAATGAAAAATACAGCTTAAGCATAGTTTGAGGAACATTGATGATAATAATATGGGATGTTAGAAAATAAATAAAGTGGTATACTTTAGGTGTTTCTACTACAATATGTTTATAGTTACTATAATAGATAAAATTTTATTTGTATCCTTTCAAAAATGGCTGATGTCTCTGTTAATTTTGTGTTACTATAACATAATATCTGAGGCTGCATAATGTATAAAGAAAAGAGGTTTATTTGGTTCATAATTCAGATGGCTGGAAAGTTCAAGACTGGGCAACTCCATCTGGCGATGGCCTCATACTGCTTCAGCTCCTATCAGAAAGTGAAAGGACAGTGAGCATGTCCCACTGGCACATATGATGAGAGAGAAAGCAAGAAAGAGAAACCAATGAAGCCAGGCTGTTTTAAATGACCTACTTTTAAGGGAACTAATTCATTCCTGAAAGAGTCAGAATCTACTCAACCCCTTGGGAGGGCCTGAATCTATTCATGAGGGACCAGACACCAGGACGAAAACAGCTCCCACTAGACCCTACCTCCCAACAATGCTGCGTTGGGGATCAAATTTTAACCTGAGTTTTGGGAGGGACAAGCCGCATATAAGCTGTAGCAGCTAACTATGATCAAATGGGCATAAAAACTATTCACACCTTCTCAGCTAAAATAAAATTGTTTTCCCACAAATCCTCTCCTCCTCTATATTGACAAATAATTTTAATGAACATGAGGTTTTATATTGTTGTACTTTATATGTTATTTTCAGACTTTTACCAACATATGCTCTAAACTTTCAAATTATTTTAATTTTTTACAATTTCATCTACATGAGAAAAAGTAAATGAGTCAAATGTTTCCTAGAAACATTTATGGTAAAGAGATTGCATTTTTACTGAATTTGTCTGTAATTATCTGTGTGCATTGTTTAAATCTTATATTCCTACAAAAAGGTATGCATTGTATATAGATGTATTACTATGATGTATATAGACATATAACTATGATGTAATTATTATTCATATTCCATCTCTGAAGATTCTTTAGAAGTTATTATATATTTAGTTCTTTTTGAACAAATTGAGTCCAAAACTACTTGAAATTTATATAACTTAACATCATTGTAGCCAGTCTTGTCAAGGATACTCCTAAAGTTAACTGAAGGTGTATTTACCTAGCAGCTCTATGCACTTCCCTGAAAGATGCACACTAAAATGTCATTTCCTGAGAGAAGCAACTACAAAGAGTATTTGTTTATGTATTTTTAAAGTTGTGATAGATGTAGGAGTCTTTTGGAGGAATCTTTAGGGTTTTTATGTATAAAATCATATAATCAGTGAACAGAAATAATTTAACTTACTCTTTTCAAATTTGGATGTCTTTTATTTCTTTCTCTTGCCTGAATGCTCTGGCTTGCACTTCCAGTGCAATGTTCAATAGGAATGGTAAAAGTGGGAATCTTTGTGTTGTTCAGTTCTTTGAGGGAATACTTTAAACTTTTCTCCATTCTCTATGATGTTGGTTGTGGATTTGTCATATATGGCCTTTATTATTATGAAGTATGTTCCTTTGATGCCTGATATGGCTGTGAATCCATCTGGTCCTGTGTCTTTTTTCTTAGGAAATCTTTTGTTACAGATTTAATTTTACTACTCACTATTGGTCTGTTCAGGATTTCTATTTCTTCCCGGTTCAAACTTGGGAGGTTGTATCTTTCCAGGAATTTATTTATTTCCTCTAGGTATTCTAGTTTGTCCATGTGCCATACTCATAGTAGTGCCTGATGATCTTTTATGTTTCTGGGGATCAGATGTAATGTTACTTTTATCATTTCTGATTGTGCTTATTTGAATCTTCTTTTTTTCTTGGTTAATCTAGCTAGCAGTCTATCAATGCATCTGCCTTTACTTTGATTCTGTAGATATGTTACTCCAGAAGACCAGGAGATGGACATTACAAGGGAGACTGAATTTCAAAATCTTTAAAGGAGAATGATAGTATAAGGACAGTTATTTTCATGATTTCATTTCTCTAGATTAAAGAGAAGAGAAACAGAGTTCTCAATGAGTATTATAAAATAAATGAATCAGATTGGTTAATACTAAATTAAATTATTGGGACAGAGCACTTAAATTAAAACATACCATTAAAAAGAAGATTCCCTATTGTGCTTAATAAATAAATTCTGTAAGAAAAATAGTAGGAGAAATTGCCTTAATGATCGCCTAGGACACTCAGTTACCTCTAAGCTTCATCCAAACAGTGTTTTCAATCTGCCCACAAATAACCAATATATTAGACAAAGTTGGTAACATCCACTTCAAATTTTCAGTAGAGTTTGTGTGAATAAAAATTAGTTCAGCCATTGTGGAAAGCAGTTTGAAGATTTCTCAAAGAACCTAAAACAGAACTACCACATGACCCAGACATTCCATTACTGGGTATACACCCCAAGAAAAATAAATTGTTCTACCAAAAATATATGCAATCATATGTTCATCATAGCGCTGTTTGCAATAGCAAAGATATTGAAGCAATCCAGGTGCCCATCAGAGGTGGATTGGAAAAAGAAAATGTTGTACATCTATACCATGGAATACTATGCAGCCATAAAAAAAGAATGAAAGCATGTGCTTTGCAGTAACATGGATGGAGCTGGAGGCCATTGTCATAAGCTAACGAATGCAGGAACAGAAAATAAATACTTCATGTCCTTACTTATAAGTCTGAGCTAAGCATTGGGTATACCACATGAACATAAAGATGGGAACAATAGACACTGGGGACAACTAGAGTGGGAGGAGGGGGAAGGGGCAAGGGCTGAAAAACTACCTACTGTGTATTATGCTCACTACCTGGGTGATAGAATCAGTTGTACCACAATCCTCAGCAATGCACAATACACCCATGAAACAAATCTGCACATGTACCCTGAATCTAAAATAAAAGTTGCATTTTTAAAAAACTCAGTAGAACAAGGAAAGAAAAGAATAATTTTAAACACACCCCCACACACATGCATACAAACATGTAGATATATATTATTCCAAACTATGAAAGAAACAAACCATTTTTGCTTAGCACTGACCAGATCATAGCTGGAGTTGCATGGTAAGTCTGAGTTGTCATAGTTTATTACATGCATTCATTAATGGGAATAGATGCTTAAGAGTATGAGCAGTTTAGAAAAAAGGTTGGAGAATTACATTATTTGGAACAGAAAAAAATCCTGAGATCTTTACATGAAAAGGAGATATACAAGTAGCACTACGACTTTATATTACAGATTATTAAGTAATTTGTTCAGGTTCACATAATCAATAAATGTACCATAATCAGCATAGCAAATTTATTGATTATGTGAACCTGAAACAAATTAGTTAACCTTTCTGAGGTTTCAAATTACTTAACCTTTCTTTGTAAAACAGATACACTTATATCAAAAGTACATGGAGAACACTGCTGTTGATCAATAAATGTTGGTTTCTCTATATTTGACTGAACAAATGAAACTGCCTGACAGAACTAGAAAAAGCTCGGGGAAGGAGATGAGCTATAAAGCAGTACTCTGGAGTTAGGCAATTATTTTTTAGTTATGTTCATGTACAAAATGAGATGAATTTTAACTAAAAAGTTTTATAGGAAAAAGACAAATGTTTGAAGAAGAGTTTTCAGAAAGAAAACGAAGTCCTATAAGAAGTAATTTACACTCTGTTTCTACGGACAAGCATACACAGGGAGTGAGAGGGAAAAAGAAGATATAAAAATTGTGGGTGAGAAGGACAAATATGAAAGGATTTTGCTCATTGTAATGGAAATGAACTATTACTAGTTAGATTTGGGATTTATGAATATTAATTTGAGAGAAAGTAAGACATATAAATGAGAGTTATTAAAGTGTCTTTACAAACGGAATCAGCTTCATATTTCTTCTCACACAAGAAAAATGTGAAGGCAAGGGAGAGCCATAAAAAGCAAATGTGGTGATATGAATTCAGTTGAGACATAGCTAGAAGAAGATAATACAAAGAGCACTTTACCCTGAGGAATAATGATACACTACTAACCTGGGCCATGCTGATTTAACTACCATATTAATATCACAGGATACATAAAGCTATGTGTATATGTCTCCTTTAAACCTAGGAGCAAAATTCTATAAAAAGGAATTATATCATTGTGGCCCTATCATTTTCTTTTCTTATTCAGTGTATATAAAATTCTTCAGTAGTTATTGTTTTCAAATAAGCTACTCTAATCTGAAATTAAAATACATGGAATAATGTCATGCCATTCACCACACAGACGTTACCCATTATAAATTATATAGTTATGCATGCATATGTATATATAATTATTTTATCAAAATATTTATAAAACAAACCTAGGTAGGATAAAATTATTATTACTTAAATATAGATAACTATATAGTTTATTAAAAGCTATCAATGTGAAGATTATATATGCATCTGGTGGTTACATAATGTTGCCATCCTGGTAGCATTCTGACTAACAAAGAAGCACTCCCATGCAATATGGGAGGAGGAATTCTACAGAACACCAAAATTTAAACTTTAAAAATATACTGGAGCTAAGACATGTGATTGCGATTCACTGAACATCACCATTATCAGGGCCTAATCCCAGATTTGCAAATTAGGGCACTATATGAAGGGACAGATAATGGATTTAAAATAGTTTCCTAACAGCTATACAAACAAGGAGTAGCAACCATGTTCATTGCAGCACCTTTCACAATAGCAGCGACGTGGAATCAACTGAAGTGTCTATCAATGAATGAATCAACAAAGATATCGTAGTATGTATACACAACGGAATATTATGTAGCCTTCAAAAAGAAGGAAATTGTCATTTACAAAAAAATGAATGAACCTGGAGGTCTTTATTCTTAGTGAAACAAGCTAGGCACAGAAAGGCAAATAATGAATGAGCACATCTATACTTTGAATTTGAAAATACTTTAATTCCTGGAACTAGAGAGTAGAATTGTGCTTATGGGAGATGCTAGTCAGAAGGTATAAGGTTTCAATTAGACAGGACATACACGTTTTCAAGATCTATTGCACAGGCAACATAACCCTAGTTAGTAATAATGCGTTGTACATTTCGAAATTGCTGAGAATGAATTTCAAATGTCTCACAACATAAAATATATGTTAATTAGCTTATGTAATCATTCCACAGTGTAAACATGTATCAAAACATTGTATTGTAACCCATACATTTATATAATTTTTATTTGTGAATTAAAAATGTAAAAATGAATAAGGAATAGCAAGCATGCACTAAGAGTGAAATAATTATTGTTGAAATTCAACTTTAAAAGTTATTCAGTCAGGCACATTGGCTCTTGCCTGTAATCCCAGCAGTTTGGGAGGCTAAGGTGGGAGAATTGCTTGATGCCAGAAGTTTGCAACTATCCTGGGAACATAGCAAGACCCTATCTCTAAAAAAAAAAAAAGAAAAAAAAATTAGCCAGGCATGGCGGCACGTGCCTGTAATCCTATGTACTCGGGAGGCTGAAGCACAGAATCTCTTTTTCCCAGGAATTCGAGGTTGCAGTGAGCTATGATTCATACCACATCACTTCAGCCTGAGTGACAGGGTTAGACCTTGTATGTCAAAAAAAAGTATTTAAATCAAATAAAATAACGAATAATATGTTGTGAGGAATCACTAAATTAAGATTTAAGTATTTTATATTTTATTTCTGATTCAGCCATTATTAAATGAAATGGGAGACCTTGTGCAAATCCTGTCACATTTTTGAGATTTTTATCTCTATGAAATTCACTGTTAGAATTAGTTTATATTTATGAGTTCATTTAATGTCAATAGTATATGATTCTATAAACCGGTTTTATGACTCTTCTGTTATTTAGCAAATATCTGAGTGCTTATTTTCCAGATTCTAACATAAGTGATATAGATGCAGAGGTGAATTCAATGTCCACTAAACCCACAGTATTGAGGCAATGGGTATGTAACAAGCACTGAACAGAAAGTGCACACTTACGACCTGCAGATTAGTTCTGACATTCCTCCTCTAGTAAAGTCCTCAGAGGGTTGTGTCAGCATTTTTCAGATTTAAGGATAAGAAGGAAATATTCACTGTAAAAAAAACAAAAACAAAACAGCACAAAATTAAAGAGAATATGTAATTGAAAGCTGTTAGAATAAGGTCCAGGATCTGCCACAACAGTTCTTATCACTGGATTTCTTGTGATGTTTGATTATTCACATGATATAGATACCTAGAGGTGGTAACATAGTCCAAAGGTCCAAAAATGTCACATCCGTAGACTACAGTATTTGTAAGAATATGCACAGGATCATCAGACGCACATTCAATGAAGCACATGTCAGGTCTAGAGGTAGAGACTGAAATACTGGAACCCAAACAATATAAATATGTTAAGGATAAAATTAATTAACAAGCCAGGGTGAGTGATCAAAAGTCAATACATAGAGATCAGTAAATATCAGGGCATAAACTTTGTGGCTTGAATATTAGGGAAGCTATAAAATAGGGGCAAATGTTTATATAAGTGGCACTTATGACCATATTATATCTAACACATTTTGGAGCTATGAAAAGCTCATTTTGGTTTCAATCTCTGGGATATTTCTCCAACAGCTTTAGAGTATGAAGTCTTTGATTACATTCTACACAGACTATCTTGTATTCTATTCTCTAGAGATGGCTGTCCAGTACTGCTTCCTGAGTTAGAAAGTGATATTGTGCTTTTTACAATAAAAATGTTGATGTCTGAAGCCTCTGCCCCAGTTCCTCCTGCCCCATACCCTCATATCTGAAGTGTGCATTTTCTGTTTCGTGTTTGTCACACACCTCTTTCCTCTGTACTGTGAAGTTTAGTGGCCACTGAGTTTACCTCTGCATCCCTATCACTTACATTAGCATCTGTCAAATAAGCAGATAGTTGATAAATGACAAACTATTATAAAAATATTTCTTACAATCATACTATTTAAATACAATCATATGTATTAATCATTGTGCATGAATCTTAACTATCGCAATTGGAAAAGAAGAAAGATGTGCAATTGATACTGTTTCTATTCCTCAAACAGTTTATTTGCCTATGAAAAAACACCCTCTTTGTAGGAAGGAATCTATTTTTCCCTATAAATTGCCATTAGTTGATTTTAATGTATCTAAACCAAGCATATCCAGAGTATACATTCTTGCTTTCAGGAGCCACAAATGACTTCTGCTATTGACAAGTGTGAAAAGGAACATAGCCTATGTCAATGCTACTCAGTGAACACAGGGAAAGCACCAGGAAGCCTTGGTTAAAAATTCACATTAATGTTCTGGGCCTTGCAGGATGATCATATTTCTCTGAGTAAAAAATTAATTCCTAGAATAACATTTTAAATTCTTTTTTAAACTCTTACTTCAATAATCACAATTCAGGACTAATGATTTGCAATATAAAGATCCTCAGATACTATATTTGTGATATTCACTAGAATTCATCTGAGAGCAATTTAAGAATTCTGTGGAGTGGAAGCTTATTTGAGCCTATCATGCTTCAGAACATTGGAGAAAATATTTTTGATGCAGGATGCTATGAAATCATACAAGTCCATAATCTTTTACTCTAAATGATGACAGTGGCTAACCATCAGGAGTGGCCCCATCTCTTCTGAGTTGGGATGGGAGCTCCCCAGGTGCCTCTGCAGCTGCCCAAGCCATGGCTGTGGACCCTGGCTTCCCTGTGCTCTCAGAGCCAAGAGCAAGCAGGAGTCCCATCCTCCTGGATGCAGCTGCAGATACCCACATCATAGCTGCAGACCTGGGTCTCCTGCTCCTGCACCTGCAGAACCAGGCATCCCTGCACCTTTAGAGGCCTGGGAAGGCCTCCCCTGCCCTTGCAAGCTTGAAAATGCCTGCTACCACTGCCTGGCTTCTCCCTGCTGTTGGTACTTGCTTTGTTCTTGGAGTAAAGTCAGGCCCGAGCCCGGGTGTGTGTGTACACACTGGGTCAGTGCTGACATGCCAGCCCCCTGCAGCCTCAGCCCCTTCCAAACTTTGGCCAGTGACAAGCCTAAGAGAAACGTGGATGGGGTTTTAACATAGCTTGGAACTGGCCTGCAGGTGCCCCTTGGCATCTACAGCATAGGCACCATGGAGGCAGCAGAAGGTAGACAGGTTTCCTGGGTGGAAGGGGGTGGGTCCCCAGTAATGCCCCACCTTCAGGCCAGGGAGTGCCTGAAGGCTGGGGGCTGGGCTCCAGTTCTGCAGACCAGAGTGGGGGCTTGTTGTGCCTTCTCTGGCCTGCCCGTGGCCACTAATGGACCAATCAGCATGCACTACCTCCACTCTGAGGCCCATAAAAGCCCTGGGATCAGCCAGAGCTGGGCAGATGTCCTGATGATCAGCTGCAGAGAGGAGCTACCCACACCATGGCCTCCTCTCTGCAGAGAGCAGCAGATGTCAGGATGATCAGCTGCAGAGAGGAGCTGTCCACTCCAGGGTCTCCACTCTCCTAGGAGCTGAACACTCATTGGGACACTCTGGCTGCAGAAAGGAGCTCCCCCTGCGGGTTTCCTCTCAACTGTTTTATCACTCAACAAAGCTCCTTTTTGTCTTGCTCACTCTCCAGTTGTCTATGTACCTCATTCTTCCTGGGCACAGGACAATAACTTGGTTACCGTGGAAGGAGCAAAGGAGGCTAAAATAACTGTAACACAAATAGGGCTGAAACATGCCCCTTGCTCACCATATTGTGGGTGAAGAGAAGGAAAGAAGAGTTGCAGCCCTCTGGGAGCCCCCTGAGTCAGGGCTGTGACTCCCTCTTTGGGGCCCTGGAGTTTCTGGCATCTCTAAGCTTCCAGGAGCAACCATGTTCCCTGGTGCCAGCCATGGAAGCTGCTTGTGGTGTGCCTGGTTTGGCCACAGCCTTGCAGAGAGTCAGTGCCTATGTTAGCATCAGGAGCTGCCCGTCCCGCTGCAGCAGCTCTCATGACTGACTGTGTGCAGTGGCCAGATCCCATGCTTGCTCACACACCCCTCGCCATTCTATGCCTGACTCGCCTTTGGCAGGCATGGGACCCAGGCTGGTAGCATAAGCCTAGCACAGCCTGCCAGGCCAAGTGGGCAAAACGAACCCAGCGGGCCTGAGCAAAACTTGGGCAAAAGCACATCCAGCCACAGAGGTTTCTGGCCATAAAAACAACACCCCAAAGATCTTGTGGCATAAACATTTGCTGCCAGTTATGTTTCAAAATTAAAACTTGAAAAGAACGTTTTGTAAATGTAATATGATGCATATCCAATAAATTATGTAATCCTCCTGATGGGTTCCTGACAGATATTACACATCATACCCATTAATATTTTTCTAGAAAACCTGTCTATTCAGTTCAAGTTTTGCTGCCAAATGCATTTAAAAACAATTTTAGTGAAAAAAAAATCTTTTTTTTTCCAGAGCTTTTTTAATTTTAGGAATACAAGGAAGGTATTTTTGATTTATATTTGGTAAATACACACATGAAGTGGGCTGGTGAGATTTATGAGATTTCTTCTACAAACTCAACATGGCATTTTTATTCAACAATGGGAGCAGTTATTTGTAATACTATATATATATATATATGTATGTGTATATATATATATGTGTATGTGTATATATATATGTATGTGTATATATATGTGTGTGTATATATATGTATGTATGTGTATATATATATGTGTGTGTGTATATATATATGTATATATATGTATATGTGTGTGTATGTATATATATATATATATATATATATATATACACACATACATACACATATATATATATTTGAGACAGAGTTTAGCTCTTGTTGCCCAGGCTGGAGTGCAATGGTGTAATCTCGGCTCACTACAACCTCCGCCAACCAGGTTTAAGTGATTCTCCTGCCTCAGCCTCCCAAGTAGCGGGGATTACAGGCATGCGCCACCATGCCCAGCTACTTTTGTATTTTTAGTAGAGATGGGGTTTCTCCACATTGGTCAGGCTGGTCTCTAACTCCCAACCTCGGGTGATCTGCCTGCCTCGGCCTCCCAAAGTGCTGGGATTACAGGCGTGAGCCATTGCACCAGGCCTGTAATACTATTGATAGTGTGGCATTTTAAGATTTTTATGTATCTGTCTGTATACCAAATTAACTAAAATAAAATAAACTTTTATTTTAATTTATTTTATTTTATTTTATTTTATTTTATTTTTTTGAGACAGAGTCTCAGTCTGTTGCCCAGGCTGGAGTGCAGTGGCGTGATCTCAGCTCACTGCAACCTCTGTTGCCCAGGTTCAAGCGATTCTCCTGCCTCAGCCTCCTGAGTAGCTGGGATTACAGGCGCCTACCACCACACCCTGCTAATTTTTTTGTATTTCTAGTAGAAACGGGGTTTCACCATCTTAGCCAAGTTGGTCTTGAACTCCTGACCTCATGATCCACCTGCCTCGGCCTCCCAAAGTGCTAGGATTATAGGCATGAGCCACTGCACCCGGCCTAAAATAAACTTATTTCAAACACTTTACCACAGTTTCTTTTTATATTTTTTGTAGGAGTTCTCTTTTGGCAGAAAGCTCAGATATTTTCTCTGGGAAACCTTTTCTATAACATCAGTGTGTACCCTGGCCTAATGTCACATCCTCCATAATCTCATATCCTCTTTAAGAGGCATTTTCCACCTTCTATTGCAGTAATCACTTTATGTTTGTGTCTCTCCAGGTTATATATTACTGAAAGGGACAGTATCCAGGGTGGAGATGAGCTATTGCCATTTTAATCAGCTGATGGAAATTTCCTTCTAAGAACTCAGCAAGAATAAAACCATTAGAAACAATTTACTCAATATACATATTATGCTTTTTCATTCATACATTGTGATCTCCCTAGATACCAAAAATAATTTTGTGATCATTTCTCTTTGTCACTTATGTCTGCAGACCTTGGATGCTCATTTTTCTACATCTGCCAATATAACAGAGCTTTGGAAAATAATAAACGCTGTATTACTACCTTTCTGATTAGCAGCAATGTATGTATTAAATTTAAACTCTTGTTATATGCTTCAACCAAATAGGGGATTAGCTCAGTATAAGAATAGGCCAATTCAAAAAGTGGCCAATTTACCAGTTTTCTATAAAATGTGTTATTTTAAAACTTTATTTTTATTACCAAAATTTGTATTAAATTATATAATAATCAGGCCAGTCGTGGTGGCTCACACTTGTAATCCCAGCAATTTGGTAGGCTGAGGCCGGCAGAACACTTGAGGTCAGAAGTTTGAGATCAACCTGACCAACATGGTAAAACCCCGCCTCTACTAAAAATACAAATATTAGCCAGGCGTAGTTTGGGAGGCTAAGGCAGGAGAATTGCTTGAAGTCAGGATGCAGAGGTTGCAGTGAGCCGAGGTCATGCCACTGCACTCCAGCCTGGGTGACAAAGGGAGACTCCATTTCAAAATGACAATAACAACTATACACACACACACATAAAATACTCAGACAATATATTTTAACCAGTAATAAAAGTTTCAGCATACCATAAGGGCTTGTGTTAGTTTATATTGACTGGTGTTAAATAATCTCTGAAGACAGTTTCCATAGTTCTATTTTTATGCTTTTGTCTGTTATCTCAAGAATTACTTTGTCAATATCTCAAACACCATATTTATTAATAATTTATAGTAATTAGTAGTCAAAATTTACTATAATATTTATTTTGTCATTTTAAAAATGTATCTTCCATACTTGTTTTTTAGTCTTTTTAGCATTTTTGACTAATTTTTTTAAAACTTCCTTTTTTAATTTTTGTGGGTACATAGTAGCTATATACATTTATGGGGATATATGAGATGTTTTGATACAGGCATGCAATGTGTAATGATTACGTTGTGGAGAATGGGGTATCCATCTGGCCTACTTAATTTTTGATCCTTTTTCCATATTTATGGTCAAAATACCTTATTTGCCTTCCAAATATTGAAAAAGCTCTGAAAAATCAAAAGATCATATTTATGATCAGCATATAAACTAAAACGCTAGTCACAGTTTGTGTTATATGATACTTTCTAAGATTTCACATTTCCTTATTTCTGCATTGATCATCTTACTCTTCCATGCTAAAGCCCTCTACAGTCAACTGCCACATTGATATATTCCAATTGCTCCTTGTTAGAAATCAACATTTTAGTGTTTCATCTGATATAGGGTTGTTTCAGCAACTTCTGAATTTTTCAGATGTTTTATATATTATTTTCCTGGAATGTAAATGTAATTACTTACATTATAATTTGGCAAACTCTCAAGTAGCATATGTGATTTAATTTTGTACTTCTAGCAATAATAACCAAAACTTTGGCATTTCAATTTTATGTAGCTGTGTTGGAACCTTTCTCTTCAATTTTATATTCATAATGAATATAGCAGGGTTGTGGTGTCAGTCTTCTGCTGAAATTTGGGTTACACATACATTATGAAACAAACATTCCCAAATATTAAATATATGCCTAAGAATGAATGGAAAAACCAAGCATTATATGTTCTCACTCACAAGTAGGAGCTAAGCTATAAGGATGCAAAAGCATAAGAAGGATACAATGGACTTTGCAGACTCCAGGGGAAAGGTTGGGAAGTGGGTGAGGGATAAAAGACTCCAAATTGGGCCCATTGTATACTGCTTGGGTGATGGGTACACCAAAATCTCACAAATCACCACTAAGAAACTTACTCGTGTAACAAAATACCACCTGTTCCCACAAATTCTATGGAAATAAAAAATAAAAATATATATGCCTAAGAAAACCAAACCATCTTATGATTTTTATCATTTCACAAATCGAGTATTGATGTAAATGCTGCTGAGAGAACTAAGAAAAATCTTCTTAGCAAAAAATTGGTAGATATTATTAAAAGTCACTAAAAATCGTTTTATGCCATATATATTGCTTTATATGTTTAAGCAACTAAAGTACATTTTTGAAAATTTGGTAAATTTTCAAAATTTAAAGAATTTATTATCCATAGATTGTTAGACAATTGTCTCAGAATCTCTGTGAACATGTTAAATTCTGTCTCAGTATCTGATACCTCTCCCAATCCCACCATTTATTTTATCCTAACACAGATCAGGTCATGATATACCCTTCAAATAGTCATAGAATCCTAATTATGAATATTAAGTGATATTAACTGAAAACCACAAATCGGTTCAACCACATTGTAAATATTTGATAAATATTAAAGATTCAAAGATATATCAATCAAGACTTCCACTCTGGAAGTATTTATAGTCAACTTCATTTTGATTCCAATCTATTTAGGTTGGTGCAAAAGTAATTGCGGTTCTTTCCTTTGAAATGATTGGCAAAAACCACAATTATTTGCACCAACATAATAATATGATTGGGTGGGTGTTGTATGACTTTAAATAAAAACTAATGCACCCATCATCATAACAATAATTAGAAAGTCATTTTTACTTTTAGTATTATATGGATGGCCAGTGAATCAAAAGCCCCAGCGGAAATAGGTCATTCTGGAAAGTAGTCGAGCCGAGTGACAAAGGGCAGAACAACCTGGAGATGAGTGCCGACTTAGCAGTAGGTGCATGGGTTATGAAAAATGGCCTAAATTAAAGCTTCGCATTTATTCACAAAGGAACAGAGGGAAACAGCCAAGAGATTTGGAAAAAGGTCGGGAAGATAAAAAGAAAGCAGATAAGATAATTAAGCCATCATTTCTTACAAAGGCTTGACTCAAAGAGCTCAGATCCCAGGGCTCAGTAGTAAGCAGAAGAAGACACAGAAAGGTTTTGTGAGGATTTAACAGCATGCTAAAGACAAAAATGGGCTGAAATTCAGAAAGCGTAGTTTTTTTTTCATTGAAGAAAGAAGAAGGTGAAATTTACTAAGCTTTACTACAAATTTAACTGAACATGTTATTAGAAACAAAGCAATCTTTAGCATATGTATTAATAAGAAAGGGAAACACGTAATTTAGCAAAAGCAAAATTATTCAACGTAATTTTTTTTAAATTTTATAGATAACAAATTAAGATATGCAGGGCAATAAAGTTTATGTTCGGCCATATCAATGGCATATGGATCATAAATAATTTTATATAGCATTTTCTCCCTGGAATGCCTTTCAATTTTCTTTAGTCTTCACTTGGCTAAATCCTAATAATGTTGTATGATTCAGCTTACATACTGCATTTTCAGCAAGACCTCATCTAGCCTCTCTGCTGAAATTAGTCCTAATGCCTCAGGTTTACAACAAATTCTTGAAGATTGAATGAAATAAATATATGTGAAGTTTCTAAAATAATGGAGGCACAGAAAAGCACTAAAAATATTTTATTAACAGTGGTGTGATCAGGGTCAATGTACTAGTCTGTTTTCTATTGCATATAGCAGCATAACTGAAACTGAGTAATTTATAAATAAATAAATTCATTTTCTATAGTTGTGGAGGTTGAGAAGTCCAAGATGGAGGAGGCATCATTGGTGAAAGCCTTCTTGCTGGTGGGGTCTCTTGCAAAGTCTCAAGGCAGTGCAGCATATCACTTGGTAAGCGGGCTGAGTGTGCTACATGTTAGCATGCTCAAGTCTCTCTCTTCTTGAAAAGCCACCAGTTCTATGCCCGTAATAACTGATTAATTAATTAGCTTTTTTTTTTTTTTTTTTTTTGAGATGGAGTTTTGCTCTTGTTGCCCAGGCTGGAGTGCAGAGGCGCAATCTCGGCTCACTGCAACTTCTGCCTTCCAGGTTCAAGGATTCTCCTGCCTCAGCCTCCCAAGTAGCTGGGATTACAGGCGTCTGCCACCATGCCCAGCTAATTTTTCTATTTTTGGTAGATAGAGATGAAGTTTCACCATGTTGGCCAGGCTGGTCTCAAACTCCTGACCTCAGGTGACCTGCCCACCTTGGCCTCCCAAAGTGCTGGGATTACAGGCATGAGCCAATGCACTGGACTAATTTATTAACCTTTTAATCCATTAACCCATGAAGTCACTAGGCAGATCCCTCATGATTCAGTCACCTCCCAAATACTTCACTTAACACTGCCACATTAGAAATCAAGTCTCAACATGAGTTTTGGAGGGAACATTCATAACATTCAGTACTGTATCATACAAAGTATATGGGCTTGGCCATCAGACTGCAGTATATTCAAGTCCTGTGCCTGCCATGGGTTAGCAGTCCTCAGTTTGAGCAATGTTCTTGAAAATTCTGAACATCAGTATTCTCATTTGTAATGGAGAAAAATACTAGTGAATTTAATGAGGCTTAAAATAGTAGACATATATGTGGGTGCTCAATACACATTTATTCAACCACACCCTTCTCATATCCCTTTCCACCATTGGCTTAAATCAAATTTAATTTGTAAGTAGAGTAAAAATTAATACAATTTCAGTATGCTAGTTATCACAGAGCAGATAAAACAATGTCCTGAAGTGTATTGTGTGGTGTACAGTGTTACAACACCTAAATTATTCAATTTAATTCCAGGTAAATTATAATTGATTCCTGAGATTCTAGGTGGAATATGTGTATTTGGAGGACAGAGTTACTCTGAGTGTAGTTGAAGAGTAAAACTATACTTAAAAAGGAGGATTAGTCTTAATGGGAAAAATAAGATAAAATATTAATAAAAGAACAATATAATTGTACAAAATATATTAAAATATAAGACAATTAAGTACATATTAAGGCTACAGTATACATGAGAAAAATACCTCAAAGTAACATTCTAAAATGCGATACTGCAAGTCTATTTTTATAGCACTTCATTTAAAACATGTGAAGTTTGGGTTTTGTTTTATTAGGACAGTGCTA
Source organism: Homo sapiens (assembly GCF_000001405.40). Taxonomy (NCBI): domain Eukaryota; kingdom Metazoa; phylum Chordata; class Mammalia; order Primates; family Hominidae; genus Homo; species Homo sapiens. The sequence continues at coordinate 54,847,230 of NC_000010.11, read as the reverse complement.
CTTAGATTAAAAGATAGCAGAAAGCAAGCAAATTGATTTAGTCTTCATGATTATGAATCATGAAGGTCAGACAAAGTCTATGCATTTTTCACATATTTAAAAAGAACCAGTAGGGAGCAGTTAGTAAAATCCTCAAAAGGTGGATCAGTGACAAACCTTTCAGAGATATTCACTCATTTGAAGCTGAGGCCAAGAATTCTAAGCAATTAACTTTTCACAAAATTATCTTTCCAACAGTAAACTTTGATGTGGCGTAGGATAAATGATATGGGTGATAATGTAAATGAAGTAATGTACAACACGTGCATTATATGTACCTTATATCGTACTCAAATGCAGTGTAACATCCGCATCTATTCTGCTATCTCTTAGTTTTATAGAATTTTATTTTTTTTCCTTAAGGGTTAGTCAGGTTGGGCAGCAATGAATTCACAGACCTGTCACCTAAAACAATTAGTGTATTGGCAGGAAATGGTTTTGGCTTAATAATTGGTTACAGGTGGAAGGAAAGTCATGCCAAGTTCTATTCATTAGCAGTGACAATATATCCTTGCACAGCTCTCCTTTCCTCGCAATTCCTATTTTAAAAAAAGAAGAAGAAAAGCTGCACTGTTAAACAAATGAGAAGAAAAGGTAGATTTTTTTCATACGTTAAAAAGGATGTTGAGTTTGGTATGATGGCCGAATGGTAGATTGCCGGATGCATTTCCCCACCCTGCCTCAAAGACCTTACCTCCCTCAAAAAACCTTCAAAAATGTAGAAGAATCAGGCCCTAATATAAAAGAGACACATGAATAGCTTCAAGTTGGGACAGAAAAATTATTTTATTCATCATTCATTCATTCGGCAATGATTTAACAAACCCCGAGGGACCTGCCATTGAAGTGGCCACACACATGGGTGTTTAATAGTTGACCTAAAAAATTTTTTTCTAGAAGATTATCCATTCTTTTAAACTTTAGAATAATGAGCAAAAATATACAAAAACATGTTGATAACACTTGTGATACTGTGTGTTTTATTACATTGAAACATTATTTTCCAATATGTCCAGGTGAAGTGCAGGTGGTATTAGTGATGCAGTTACATAGCAGCAATATCAACAAGCAAATTGGGGAAAATAACATTTTCAGACATTACTAGATTTTCTTTGGTGTCATATTTAATATGCAGTAAAGGTAAGTAATTAGTATAAGAATATAAAACCATATTAAATGGTTTTTAGAAAATAAATTATGCGCTTTTTAAGTGGAAATATTACACAGTCATTAGATTAAAAAATACATTTCTGGTCAGGGAAAACTGTATTTCAAATTATTTACCTGGTTCATAGGCATTGGATGTGGTGACAATCTAGTATTTAGGAAGTTAATTATTTCAGTCAATATCCAGTCATTTTGACTTCCAAAAAAATTGCATGTTAAAGACAGTGAACATCTTTACATTCATTCCCCGAGCTGTCTCATTTTTCTCATGGGTTACTTTTCACTCTTCTTACCATTCGTATTACACTTTGCTATGTCCAACTGAATGTAAACTTTCTCACAGCAAGAGCCTTTCTCTGTCTATTCAAAATTTTATCCTGGGAAGCATCAGAAAACTTCAATTCTCTTAAGACTTCATAAAGAATATTAATATAATAGATAATAAAAGCCTGTATAAGGCTTTGGCTATTCCCTGCCCAATTACATGCAGAATTTAGACCACATCCTTCAGTAAATTAACTAGTATCACTGGCATTTTTGGTCAAATTACGGAATGGCAACTTTCTCTGTAGAGAAAAATCCAAAACATGTTTCATTCTCTAGTTTGACCCAACCTTGATCGAGGAAGCAAGTAATGGGAAGTGGATCTCCTTTTGGATTTCAGTATTCACTTCCCTGTCAACCAAAGTCTTTTGTGAAGTACACTAATGTCTTCCTCAAGCCAGAAAACCCTTAGTTTTCTCCCAGGTATTATGTGGCAATTCAGGAATAGCTATTCCATTGTTTTCTGTGCTATTTTCTTGCCATAATGAGTTAAACATCACTTAAAATTATAAAATTAACATAATGAACATTCAGGTAAGTAATTAAGCACATTGCAAAAAAAAGAAAAAAGAAAAAAGAAAAAAAGGCTTTTCCTTTTCTAAAAGATTTGATTCTAAGAATTATTTTAAAATCCCTTATTAAACGTAATTTTAAATTAAAATTATAAATCTTAATTTCAACATGATTTTTCATTAAAAAGAACTCAGGAAAGCAGAAGAAAAGTAAATGAAAGTAGTGGTAATTTTAAAAAGCCTGCTCTTAATTCTGCTTTTTGAGGCTAAAATAAAAGTAATTGCTCTGAAACATTTAAATTAAGGCTACGTTTTTTTAAAAGTCATTATTGAAACAAAATTTCTGAAAAAACATCAAGTGCATGCATAATGGCCGTCATCAAATTCATAGTGGAAATTTATTGAAAAGTTCTCCCAAAGTTCATAAACTTTATTATTTTAATAGTTAACATTGAGGCAGTGAGATTGAATTTTATTTCTGAACTTCTTAGTGTTAACAGTGTTTTCAGTGACTGCTGCATGTGGATACATATTTCTGAAAAATTATTAATATTCAAAAAAAAAGCAAAAGAAAACTTGCCTTTACTCAGGATGCACCAAATCACGAGTGAAGAAAATCCATCATAAATCCACCAAAGCAGGAGTGAGGGAAAGCATATATGTGAATCCATCCCATCAAAGCAGGAGTGAGGGAAAGCATATATGTGAATCCATCAAAGCAAGAGTGAGGGAAAGCATATATGTGTCAGCACTATGAAGGCATATGCCTAAATTTCTGTTTAAAAAGTAGGGAGAGTGATATTATATAAATAGCAGGGCTCCAGTTAACAAGGTAAGTTGTTCTTGAGTTCTAGCATCTCCTCAAAATGTACTGTATCTTGATTTTAACAAATAGTTTGTTCTTTTTCTCTGTCTCTGTCTCTCCCCTCACTAACACACACATTTATATTTCATAAAAAATAAGATTTGTGAAAGTATTACTGTAGCTTTCCAAGGCATCTGAATCATCACTAGCACCTCTTATCTATTTGTATTTGCCAAATGGAACTGGCTGTGTAGATATAATTAGCCTTCATCCTGTGGTTGAATGATGTGGACATACTTTTACCTCTTTTAAATCATGCCTTTCTTAACTCAGTAGGATAACACTGAAATATATAAGAAAAGTTATTTCAGCCATGCTCTGTGTTATATTTTGAAATGAGATTCTATGCTAAAACTATTTTCCTATTTTGATAAACAGTCACAAGACATGTTAAATCGTATTTTTGTGTTCATTGCCATTTGTCATGTATTTTCCAATTGCCATTTGTCCAATTGTTCATTGCCATTTGTCATGTATTTTCCAACTGGGGACTCAAAACACTGATCCCCGTAAGATGTATCAGGGAACTGTTCAGAAATTTCAATTGCTTGTCTAGCACTTTTACTACTTTTTAACTTTATTTACTACGTTTATTGAAGCAAACTCTTTTGACTAGTTTTGTCATGTTAACAATCGTCAAATTATCTTAATGAAATCATCTTAATGAAATTCACTCTATGTTATAAAATGTTAAAATATAAGAATTGAGCAAATGTATGATGTGTGTGTAGAAAAGCTAAATAACTATCAGAATATAAAGTCGACAAGCAAAATCTTCAATTTGAGTTATGTCTCTCAGGACATAAAAATAACGTTAAGTCAGTAAGAGAGTAAGTAAAGATCAAGTGTCAGCCTGTCAGACACACATAAATCACAATTAAGATGTTTTCTAATTATAAATGCATTTCTTGGCATTAAACTCCAGCTCGAGCATGTCAGAAGGAAATGTTAATATTCTGACCCAGAAGTCTGGCGGCATTAGATTTGCCTGATTGTTAAGCTTACATATTAATATAGGAGGTACCTTTGTTTGGCTCAAATCCCTCTCCCTTGAGCAGGATGCCAATTATTTTCCATGCCAATTTTTCAACTGCCAGGGCACAGCTTTACTTGTTCAGTTCTCCCTAAAGTTCATGAAGCCAAACGATACAACAACAATGAAAAGAATGCTTTATTAAGATTGACTTTTAAGGGCTTTCTGGATACTGCTGAGATACTGCTGAGGGTATGCTCTCAGTATTACATTTTGAAAACTATTTGAAATGTGTGTCAGAGCTCCTTGACCCTTAAAGGATCGTATAAGCTGGAGATGGACTATATTTCAGCTCTGATATCTTTGTTCTTTCCGATAGTCAGTTTTCATTACATTAACATACGATGACACTTATTTCTTTTTATTTTCCTCCCAATAATGCCTGCCTTCCTTTTCCTTTGGCAACAGCAAACCTATTTACCCTGGAATTTCCATATGAAAGCTGCTTGCTATTAAACACCTGTACTAGAAAACATAAGACTTTCATTATCCAAAAGATGCTTCAGTCTGTGTCCTAGAGATTTTTTTATATGAGGTAATACCATACAAAATAAAGTTGAATTTTACTGACTGTATACAAAATAAATAAGATAATCGCTGTTGTAGTTACATAAATTGGAGCAAGGATGTAAGCAGACTAACTACAAAGTCCACAAATACATTAAGATTCTTTGACTTTATATATAGTTGTAGCAATTTACATTATTCCTAATCTATGCTTACCTCACACATCTACAGAATATCTTAGTAGAATTTCAAAACATATTTTAAAATTAGAACCTTAGATGATTTCCTTATAGAATTTAATGACAAGGTTTCCTCCTGAGTTTTGAACCTTGATGGAGTAGCAAAGATTCATTGCTCTAAGAAATGGATGCAGACGGGCAGGTCACAAATTACTAAGTGTGAGTTACTAGAATCAGAGGAAATGATTTGAGGGAGACATTAACAAAAGATATGTTGTAGAAGAAAGGGTGCTAATAGTTAATAATTTTAACAATAGGTCTGGATGGAGAAAAAATAAAATTACGAAGACTCTACCAATTAAATCTGTCTCATTTATTCATATTCTCTCTCTCTCTGTCTCACACACACACACACACACACGCACACATACACACACTTTTCCTTTCTCTTTTCAGTAGCTTGACAGATTTGAAATTATCATGAACGTTTATGAATTTTGTAGTTACATAAGAGAATAAGTCCAATTTCAAGTTCCTCGATATAACTAAAGATCTTTATTTCCTATGATGTGATTTATTCTCTTAATTTGACCCTCTTCCCCCTGGAAAATAGCATATGTGCTTATTGAAATGAACTTAAGCAATACAGAACTAATATGGCATCATATAAAAATAAACATTGTTTATATCAGGTAATTATCAGTCTAGACATCACTATAGGCACATATGCAGGAAGAATAAGAGAGTGCTACAGATCTATCTGTTTAAAATGACAAATGTCTTCAAAAAATGATTGTAATAATATGCATTATATATTTAATTGAAATGTTAATTTTTTCTATTTTTATTTTAGAAAACAAACTGAATGCAAATTGAAGTAATTGGTGAACTTTAAATTTTTTTCAGTTAAAATTAATGTAAATTGGAGAAAATATTAGCTTAAAGCCATTATTTTTAAAACTTTTATGCATTTTTACCAGCTTTATTGAAATATATTTAACAATAAAATTTTCTATAGTTCCTTTTTTGTCTTTATATTATTTGTTGCTCTAATTTTTATTATTTCTGCCCATCTGCTAACTTAGGCCTGAAAAGATTTTTTTTCCCTAGTTCTTTGATATGTAAAGTTAGGTATTTATTTGGAATTCTTTTCCTTAATGTAAGCATTTATCACTATAAACTACCTTCTTAGGACAGCTTTTGCTGTGTCCAAGAGGTTTGGACATGTTGTGTTTTTAAAATTTTAAGATGCTTTTTTATTTCTCTCTTTATTTCTTCTTTTGCTCATTGGTTGTTTTTGAGTGTGTTGTTTAATTCCCACGTTTGCGAATTTTCCAGTTTTCCTCCTTTTGTTGATTTTTAGTTTCATATCATGCGGTCAGAAACATACTTCATATAATTTCTGTCTTTTAAAATTTGTTGAGACTTGTTTTATGGTCCAATATATGGTATACCCTGAAGAATGTTTCATGTACAGTTGAGAGGAACTTATATACTGCTGTTTATGGGTGGAATGTTCTGTGCATGTGTGTTAGCTCAATTTGGTAGTATTATTAAAGTCTGCTGTTTCCTTATTGACTTTCTGGATGATCTATCCAGTATGGAAATTGGGGTGGTGAAGTCTCTTACTATTATTGTACTGCTGTCTACTTCTCCCTTCAGTTCTGTTAACATTTCCTTTATATACTTAGATCTATTGTTGGGTGCATATATATTTACAATCATTATATCCTCTCGATGAATCAATACTTTTGTTGTTATATATTGATTTTCTTTGTCACATGACAGATTTTGACTACAAGTCTATTTTGTCTGAACGAAGTATTCCTACTCTGCTCTCTCTTGGTTACTATTTTATAGACTATCCTTTATATTCCTTCCATTTTAGACTATATATATTCTTAAAGTCAAGGTGAGTCTGTTGTATGTATCATATTGTTAGAGGTTTGAAATTCATTTGGCCACTCTTTACTTTTTCGTTAGAAAATTTAATTCATTTAAACTTAAATATTAATAAGTAAGGACTTAGTTTTGCCATTCTGTTAATATTTTGACTGTTTTATACTTCCTTTGTTCCTTTCTTTTTCTCCTCCTGTCTTTGTGATTTGATGATTTTTCTCCACTACTTTCTTTTGATTTTTCTCTATTTATATTTTGTGTGCCTACTAGAAACTTCTTTGTGGTTACAACAAACCTTATATAAAATATTTTATAGTTATAGGTATGTATTCTAAGCTGATAGCAACTTAACTAAATTGCTATAAAAACTCTACACTTTTACATCTCCCACCCAGACTTCGTGCTATCAATGTTACACTTTACCTCTTTTTATATTTGTGCATCCATTAAAAAATGATTGTAGTTGTAGTTATTTTTAACACTCTTGATTTTTAAATTTTCAACTAGAGGTAAAACTGATTCATGCTCGGTCATTATAGTATTAGAGTATTCTGAATTTGCCTGTCTATTTAACTATACCAGTGAGTTTGAAACTTTCATATATTTTCGTGTTGTTACTTAGTGTCCATTTATTCCAACTT